>NC_000024.10:7244455-7544864 GCF_000001405.40 Homo sapiens
TGGTTTTATAAGGGAAAAGCCTTTTACTTGGCTCTCATTCTCTCTTGCTTGCCACCATGTAAGATGTGACTTTTGCCTTCCACCAAGATTGTGAGGCCTCCCCAGCCATATGGAACTGTGAATCCAGTAAACCTTTTTTTCTTTATAAATTACCCAGTCTTGGATATGTCTTTATCTGTAGCATGGAAGTGGAATAATACAACCACCTTCTAATACTATAAGCAATGACATTATAAGCAAGTTAATTTCATGTATATTTCTTACTACTCATTTGTATAATCTTTTGTATGGTAAGAAGCCAGAGTGGAACCGCTGTCTCATTTCCAAGTCCTCATCTTTACTAAGTAATTCCACGTGGTTTTTCAAAGCAGCAGCAATACTTTCCACATCTGCCAGCAGAGTATACATTCCATTGCATCTCTCTCTGCTCAGCTTTGATACTGGGAGATAGCAATTGTCGTTTTAACTTTCCTTCCCTGACTGCTACTGAAGCTGAGCAGCTTTCATTTGTTACTTTGTAATTTAGATTTCCTCTTCTGAATGTTCCTCCTTGAATTGTTCTTGATTTTTTAATATTACTTAATTTTATGTATTTATTTATTTAATTTATTCTCACTCAGGCTACAGTGCAGTGGAATAATCATAGCTCACTGTAGCCTCGACCTCCAGAGTCAAGCAATCTTCCCACCTCAGCCTCTCAAGTAGGTGGGACTACAGGCACATGCCACCACACCTAGTAATTTTTGTATTTTTTTTTTTTTTTTGTAGAGATGAGGCCTTTCTATGTTGCCCAAACTAGTCTCAAATCTCTGGGCTCAAGCAATCCACCCACCTCAGCCTCCCAAAGGCATCAGGTACCATGCCCCACATGTTCCTGACTTTAAAGAGACCACATTTAACATCCTACTCTTTAGTATGACATGCATTTTTCCATAGAAAGCTTTTATTAGATTAAGGAAGTTTGTATTTATTCCTAGTTTGTTAAATCCTAAATGGGTGTTCAATTTTATCACAGCTACTTACTGCATCAATTGAAATAAGAAATATTTTGGCCTGGCGCGGGGCCTCACGGCTGTAATCCCAGCACTTTGGGAGGCTGAGGCAGGCGGATCACGAAGTAAAGAGATTGAGACCATCCTGGACAACATGGTGAAACCTCATCTCTACTAAAAACACAAAAATTAGCTGGGCATGCTGGCATGCACCTGTAGTCCCAGCTACTCAGGAGGCTGAGGCAGGAGAATCACTTGAACCCAGGAGGTGGAGGTTGCAGTGAGCTGAGATTGCGCCACTGCACTCCAGCTTGGCGACACTGAGATTCTGTCTCAAAAAATAATAATAATAATATTTTTCTTTTCTCCTTTAATTTGTAGATATTTAAAGTACAATCATAGATTGTCTATTGTTGAAACTTGCTTAACATTTGTACCTCACAAAGGATGAGACTGGTCTATAACTTCTTTTCCCATGCTTTCTTTGTTGTGTTTGCTGAGTTTGAATATCAGATTATTCTTGGCCTCAAAATAGTTTGCAGATATTGTTTCTTTTTGTTTTGTCTGGAGGAATTTAAATAATACTTGAATTTACTGCTGCCTGATAATACCAGATAGGTCTAGCATTTTCTTGGTGAGAAGTTTTTTAACCACTCACTCAATGTATTAAATTTCTTCATTTTATCTTACTTTAAGTTCTAGGATACATGTGCAGAACATGCAGGTTTGTTACATAGGTATACATGTGCCATGGTGGTTTGCTCACCTATCAACCTGTCTTCTATGTTTTAAGCCCCACGTGCATCAGGTATTTGTTCTAATGCTCTTACTCTGCTTGCTGCCCACCTCCCAACAGGCCCTAGTGTGTGATGTTCCTCTCCCAACATCCAGGTGTTCTCACTGTTCAACTCCCACTTATGAGTGAGAACATGTGGTGTTTGGTTTTCTGTTTCTGTGTTAGTTTGCTGAGAATGATAGCTTCCAGCTTCATCTATGTCCCTACGAAGGACATGATCTTGTGTCTGGAATTTATTTCTTCTGGTGGGTTCTTGGTCTCACTGACTTCAAGAATGAAGCCGTGGACCCTCCCGGTGAGTGCTACAGTTCTTAAAGATGGTGTGTCCATAGTTTGTTCCTTCAGATGTTCAGATGTGTCTGGATTTTCTTCCTTCTGGAGGGTTTGTGGTCTTTCTGACTTCAGGAGTGAAGCTGCAGACCTTCACAATAAGTGTTACAGCTCTTAAAGGTGGTGCGTATGGAGTTGTGTGTTCCTCCGGGGTGGGTTTGTGGTCTCGCTGACTTCAGGAATGAAGCCGCAGACCCTTTTGGTGAGTGTTATAGCTCATAAAGGTGGCACGGACCCAAAGAGTGAGCAGCAGCAAGATTTGTTGTGAAGAACAAAAGAATAAGCTTCAACGGTGTGGAAGGGCACCCGAGCAGGTTGTGGCTGTTAGCTCAGGTGGCCAGCTTTTATTCCCTTATTTGGCCCCGCCCACATCCTGCTTATTGGTCCATTTACAGAGTGCTGACTGGTGTGTTTACAATCCTTTAGCTAGACACAGAACGCTGATTGGTGTGTTTTTACAGAGTCCTGATTGGTGCATTTACAAGCCTTTAGCTAGACATAGAGTGCTGATTGGTGCATTTTTACACAGTGTTGATTGGTGCATTTCCATTCCTTTAGCTAGACAGAAAAGTTCTCCAAGTCCCCAGTCGACCCAGGAAGTCCAGCTCACTTCACCTCTCAATCTCATTATTTTTATGGCTGCAACTGTATTAAATTTCTACAATACCATTTGGATATTGTATATTTACTTGAGTCAGTTTTGGTAAAATATACTGTTCCATAAATATGTTCATTATATCTGAAGTTTTTAAGTACATTGGGATTGTTATTCCTTTTTCTTTTTTTTCTTTTTTTTGTCACAGAGTCTCACTCTGTCACCCAGGCTAGAATGCAGTGGCATGATCTTGGCTCGCTGTAACCTCCACCTCCCAGGTTCAAGTGATTCTCCTGCCTCAGCCGCCTTAGTAGCTGGGATTACAGGCATCTGCCACCACGCCCAGCTAATTTTTGTATTTTTAGTAGAGATGGGGTTTTACCCTGTTGGCCAGGCTGGTTTCAAGCTCCTGACCTCAAGTTATCCACCTGCCTTGGCCTCCCAAAGTGCTGGAATTATCCATGAGCCGCCACTGTGCCTGGCCAATTATTCCTAGTATCATCTTATTTTCTTTATAAACTCAGCTACATCTGGAGTCATATTTCTTTTTTCTTCTTAATATTATTCATTGGCATATTCTGTTTCTTTTTATTTGCAATCTTAGCAGATTTTATTCATTGTACTCTTTTTATTGCAGTTATTTTTAATGTTATTACAAACTAAAATTTGATTTAAAGTAAAATGAAGTTTATTAAAATTAAATATTAATAGGAAATAAAATTAAACTAATTATATCCAAAATACATAAAATTGGCCAGGCATGGTGGCTCACACCTGTAATCCCAGCACTTTAGGAGGCTGAGGTGGCAGATCAATAGATGTCACGCATTCCAGACCAGCCTGACCAACATGGTGAAACCCTGTCTCTACTAAAACTACAAAAATTAGCCAGGAATGGTGGCAGGCACCTATAATTCCAGCTACTCAGGAGGCTGAGGCAGGAGGCAGAGGTTGTAGTGAGCTGAGAACAGGCCATTGAGCTCCAGCCTGGGTGACAAAGCAAGACTGTTTCAATAAATAAATAAAAATAAATACATACATAAATACATAAAATTAACTAATAAATGAAATAATAAAATAGTAATATAATAAAATAATTAAATATAATTAAACTAATTTTATTTAAATGAATATTTAAAAGAAGCAATTAAATGCTTAAATGCTTTTCAACACTTAAAAGAGGCGATTCTACTAAAATTAATTTCACTAAAATTAAAAAGATTTCTAACTTCAGCTACTTCCATCTTCTCTCATTTTCTTCTCTAATTTGTGAATTCTACTGGTTTTCACTTATTTCCTTCTACTGTTCTGTGTAATTCTGCTGTTCCTTTTCTAACTTCTTGAGTGGGACGCTTAGCATACTTTTCTGTGCCATTTCTTCTCCTTTAGGATAAGCGTGTTACTGAAGTTTTCAAGTACCTCTAGTGACGCATCCGCTGCATCCCACGGCTTCTGAGCTGCGCATTTGAGTTCCAAGGAGTCACGAAGGCAGCTTGAAAACGTTTTCTTGGGAAATGGAAACTGTCTGTGTCAATACAATGGGCGCTGGGCAGAAAAGAGAAAACTTCTCCATGTGGGAAAGCTACTCTGTTCTCCTCCATTCTCTGCAGTGAATTTGGAAAGAACTGACATTTTGTCTACTTTTAGGAAAGTATCCATGCACTGGAGAGCTGGAAGCAAGAGCGAGATGTCCCCAGATCCTAAACAGGGAATCCAGCCATTTGCTGAAGACAAAAACAGGCCCGCGGAAGTGAGTCCCTTTGACCTTGTACTCAAAGTATCTCCAACCACATGGGTAAAAGACCAAACATGGCACAAACAATCCCATGTGGGAAGACCGCTCCAAGGGGCAGAAGTCACCAGGCCTGAATTTTTGAACGCGGTTTATTCTCTGACTGTTCCCCCTGCATCCCAGGCTCTTCTGCGCAGAGGACGGGGTGCATGGCCTGTGCTGGCTTGGAGGAGGAGGGGGCTGGGGCAGAGAGCCCTGGGGAAGGGCTATAGGCAGAGAACCCCAGCTCAAAGGTGGTAGGTACCCAGGTCTGCTCTCCCCGAGGGAGAGGAGTGGGAGGGTCTTGCCAGCCTGAGAAAACACTGGCTTTGTCTTTTTGGCAGAACAAAGACTTCTTTCAGAGAAGACTGACTGATTGGCCTAATTCCTTCTCATCTGTGTGTGCAGCTGGCCCTCAATATCCTCATGGAGTTGGTTCTCGGACTTCCACTGATATCAAAATCCAAGGATGCTCAAGCCCCTTGTAGCAAACGATGCAGTATTTGCATATCACCCAGGCATATCTTCCCATACACTTTAAGCCATCTCTACTTATAATACCTAATACAGTGTAACTGTTTTGTCAATTTTTTTTTAACTCCACCAAATATTCTAGTTAATTTTTTTTTATTATACTTTAAGTTTTAGGGTACATGTGCACATTGTGCAAGTTAGTTACATATGTATACATGTGCCATGCTGGTGCGCTGCACCCACTAACTGGTCATCTAGCATTAGGTATATAACCCAATGCTATCCCTCCCCCCTCTCCCAACACCACCACAGTCCCCAGAGTGTGATATTCCCCTTCCTGTGTCCATGTGATCTCATTGTTCAATTCCCACCTATGAGTGAGAACATGCGGTGTTTGGTTTTTTGTTCTTGCGATAGTTTACTGAGAATGATGATTTCCAATTTCATCCATGTCCCTACAAAGGACATGAACTCATCACTTTTTATGGCTGCATAGTATTCCATGGTGTATATGTGCCACATTTTCTTAATCCAGTCTATCACTGTTGGACATTTGGGTTGGTTCCAAATCTTTGCTATTGTGAATAATGCCGCAATAAACATACGTGTGCATGTGTCTTTATAGCAGCATGATTTATAGTCCTTCGGGTGTATACCCAGTAATGGGATGGCTGGGTCAAATGGTATTTCTAGTTCTAGATCCCTGAGGAATCACCACACTGACTTCCACAATGGTTGAACTAGTTTACAGTCCCACCAACAGTGTCAAAGTGTTCCTATTTCTCCACATCCTCTCCAGCACCTGTTGTTTCCTGACTTTTTAATGATAGCCATCCTAAGTGGTGTGAGATGGTATCTCATTGCGGTTTTGATTTGCATTTCTCTGATGGCCAGCGATGATGAGCACTTTTTCATGTGTTCTTTAGCTGCATAAATGTCTTCTTTTGAGAAGTGTCTGTTCATGTCCTTTGCCCACTTTTTGATGGGGTTGTTCATTTTTTTCTTGTAAATTTGTTTGAGTTTATTGTAGATTCCGGATATTAGCCCTTTGTCAGATGAGTAGGTTGTGAAAATTTTCTCCCATTTTGTAGGTTGCCTGTTCACTCTGATGGTAGTTTCTTTTGCTGTGCAGAAGCTCTTTAGTTTAATTAGATCCCATTTGTCAATTTTGGCTTTGGTTGCCATTGCTTTTGGTGTTTTGGACATGAAGTCCTTGCCCATGCCTATGTCCTGAATGGTAATGCCTAGGTTTTCTTCTAGGGTTTTTATGGTTTTAGGTCTAATGTTTAAGTCTTTAATCCACCTTGAATTAATTTTTGTATACAGTGTAAGGAAGGGATCCAGTTTCAGCTTTCTACATATGGCTAGCCAGTTTTGCCAGCACCATTTATTAAATAGGGAATCCTTTCCCCATTGCTTGTTTTTCTCAGGTTTGTCAAAGATCAGATAGTTGTAGATATGTGGCATTATTTCTGAGGGCTCTGTTCTGTTCCATTGATCTATATCTCTGTTTTGGTACCAGTACCATGCTGTTTTGGTTACTGTAGCCTTGTAGTATAGTTTGAAGTCAGGTAGTGTGATGCCTCCAGCTTTGTCCTTTTGGCTTAGGATTGCCTTGGCCATGCAGGCTCTTTTTTGGTTCCATATGAACTTTAAAGTAGTTTTTTCCAATTCTGTGAAGAAAGTCATTGGTAGCTTGATGGGGATGGCATTGAATCTGTAAATTACCTTGGGCAGTATGGCCATTTTCACGATATTGATTCTTCCTACCCATCAGCATGGGATGTTCTTCCATTTGTTTGTATCCTCTCTTATTTCCTTGAGCAGTGGTTTGTAGTTCTCCTTGAAGAGGTCCTTCACATCCCTTGTAAGTTGGATTCCTAGGTATTTTATTCTCTTTGAAGCAATTGTGAATGGGAGTTCACTCACGATTTGGCTCTCTGTTTGTCTGTTATTGGTGTATAAGAATGCTTGTGATTTTTGTACATTGATTTTGTATCCTGAGATTTTGCTGAAGTTGCTTATCAGCTTAAGGAGATTTTGGGCTGAGACAATGGGGTTTTCTAGATATACAATCATATCATCTGCAAACAGGGACAATTTGACTCCCTCTTTTCCTAATTGAATACCCTTTATTTCCTTCTCCTGCCTGATTGCCCTGGCCAGAACTTCCAACACTATGTTGAATAGGAGTGGTGAGAGAGGGCGTCCCTGTCTTTTGCCAGTTTTCAAAGGGAATGCTTCCAGTTTTTGCCCATTCAGTATGATATTGGCTGTGGGTTTGTCATAGATAGCTCTTATTATTTTGAAATACGTCCCATCAATACCTAATTTATTGAGAGTTTTTAGCATGAAGCGTTGTTGAATTTTGTCAAAGGCCTTTTCTGCATCTATTGAGATAATCATGTGGTTTTTGTCTTTGGCTCTGTTTATATGCTGGATTACATTTATTGATTTATTGATTTGAACCAGCCTTGCATCCCAGGGATGAAGCCCACTTGATCATGGTGGATAAGCTTTTTGATGTGCTGCTGGATTCATTTTGCCAGTATTTTATTCAGGATTTTTGCATCAATGTTCATCAAGGATATTGGTCTAAAATTCTCTTTTTTGGTTGTGTCTCTGCCCGGCTTTGGTATCAGAATGATGCTGGCCTCATAAAATGAGTTAGGGAGGATTCCCTCTTTTTCTATTGATTGGAATAGTTTCAGAAGGAATGGTACCAGTTCCTCCTTGTACCTCTGATAGAATTCGGCTGTGAATCCATCTTGTCCTGGACTCTTTTTGGTTGGTAAACTATTGATTATTGCCACAATTTCAGCTCCTGTTATTGGTCTATTCAGAGATTCAACTTCTTCCTGGTTTAGTCTTGGGAGAGTGTATGTGTCGAGGAATGTATCCATTTCTTCTAGATTTTCTAGTTTATTTGCGTAGAGGTATTTGTAGTATTCTCTGATGGTAGTTTGTATTTCTGTGGGATCAGTGGTGATATCCCCTTTATCATTTTTTATTGTGTCTATTTGATTCTTCTCTCTTTTTTTCTTTATTAGTCTTGCTAGCAGTCTATCAATTTTGTTGATCCTTTCAAAAAACCAGCTCCTGGATTCATTAATTTTTTGAAGGGTTTTTTTGTGTCTCTATTTCCTTCAGTTCTGCTCTGATTTTAGTTATTTCCTGCCTTCTGCTAGCTTTTGATTGTGTTTGCTCTTGCTTTTCTAGTTCTTTCAACTGTGATGTTAGGGTGTCAATTTTGGATATTTCATGCTTTCTCTTGTGGGCATTTAGTGCTATAAATTTCCCTCTACACACTGCCTTGAATGAGTCCCAGAGATTCTGGTATGTTGTGTCTTTGTTCTCGTTGGTTTCTTTATTTCTGCCTTCATTTCGTTATGTATCCAGTAGTCATTCAGGAGCAGGTTGTTCAGTTTCCATGTAGTTGAGCAGTTTTAAGTGAGATTCTTAATCCTGAGTTCTAGTTTGATTGCACTGCAGTCTGAGAGATAGTTTGTTATAATCTCTGTTCTTTTACATTTGCTGAGAAGAGCTTTACTTCCAAGTATGTGGTCAATTTTGGAATAGGTGTGGTGTGGTGCTGAAAAAAATGTATATTCTGTTGATTTGGGGTGGAGAGTTCTGTAGATGTCTATTAGGTCGGCTTGGTGCAGAGCTGAGTTCAATTCCTGGGTATGCTTGTTGACTTTCTGTCTCGATCTGTCTAATGTTGACAGTGGGGCGTTAAAGTCTTCCATTATTAATGTGTGGGAGTCTAAGTTTCTTTGTAGGTCACTCAGGACTTGCTTTATGAATCTGGGTGCTCCTGTGTTGGGTGCATATATATTTAGGATAGTTAGTTCTTCCTGTTGAAATTATCCCTTTACCATTATGTAATGGCCCTCTTTGTCTCTTTTGATCTTTGTTGGTTTAAAGTCTGTTTTATCAGAGACTAGGATTGCAACCCCTGCCTTTTTTTGTTTTCCATTTGCTTGGTAGATCTTCCTCCATCCTTTTATTTTGAGCCTATGTGTGTCTCTGCACGTGAGATGGGTTTCCTGAATACAGCACACTGGTGGGTCTTGACTCTTTATCGAATTTGCCAGTCTGTGTCTTTTAATTGGAGCATTTAGTCCATTTACATTTAAAGTTAATATTGTTATGTTTGAATTTGATCATGTCATTATGATGTTAGCTGGTGATTTTGCTTGTTAGTTGATGCAATTTCTTCCTAGTCTCCATGGTCTTTACATTTTGGCATGATTTTGCAGCACCTGGTACTGGTTGTTCCTTTCCATGTTTAGCGCTTCCTTCAGGAGCTCTTTTAGGGCAGGCCTGGTGGTGACAAAATCTCTCAGCATTTGCTTGTCTGTAAAGTATTTTATTTCTCCTTCACTTATGAAGCTTAGTTTGGCTGGATATGAAATTCTGGGTTGAAAATTCTTTTCTTTAAGAATGTTGAATATTGGCCCCCACTCTCTTCTGGCTTGTAGGGTTTCTGCCGAGAGATCCGCTGTTAGTCTGATGGGCTTCCCTTTGTGGGTAACCCGACCTTTCTCTCTGGCTGCCCTTAACATTTTTTCCTTCATTTCAACCTTGGTGACTCTGACAATTATGTGTCTTGGAGTTGCTCTTCTCGAGGAGTATCTTTGTGGCGTTCTCTGTATTTCCTGAATCTGAAAGTTGGCCTGCCTTGCTAGATTGGGGAAGTTCTCCTGGATAATATCCTGCAGAGTGTTTTCCAACTTGGTTCCATTCTCCCCATCACTTTCAGGTACACCAATCAGATGTAGATTTGGTCTTTTCACATAGTCCCATATTTCTTGGAGGCTTTGCTCATTTCTTTTCATTCTTTTTTCTCTAAACTTCCCTTCTCGCTTCATTTCATTCATTTCATCTTCCATTGCTGATACCCTTTCTTCCAGTTGATCGCATCGGCTCCTGAGGCTTCTGCATTCTTCACGTAGTTCTCGAGCCTTGGTTTTCAGCTCCATCAGCTCCTTTAAGCACTTCTCTGTATTGGTTATTCTAGTTATACATTCTTCTAAATTTTTTTCAAAGTTTTCAACTTCTTTGCCTTTGGTTTGAATGTCCTCCCGTAGCTCAGAGTAATTTGATCGTCTGAAGCCTTCTTCTCTCAGCTCGTCAAAGTCATTCTCCATCCAGCTTTGTTCCGTTGCTGGTGAGGAACTGCGTTCCTTTGGAGGAGGAGAGGCGCTCTGCGTTTTAGAGTTTCCAGTTTTTCTGTTCTGTTTTTTTCCCCATCTTTGTGGTTTTATTTTCTTTTGGTCTTTGATGATGGTGATGTACAGATGGGTTTTTGGTGTGGATGTCCTTTCTGTTTGTTAGTTTTCCTTCTAACAGACAGGACCCTCAGTTGCAGGTCTGTTGGAATACCTTGCCGTGAGAGGTGTCAGTGTGCCCCTGCTGGGGGGTGCCTCCCAGTTAGGCTGCTCGGGGGTCAGGGGTCAGGGACCCACTTGAGGAGGCAGTCTGCCCGTTCTCAGATCTCCAGCTGCATACTGGGAGAACCACTGCTCTCTTCAAAGGTGTCAGACAGGGACATTTAAGTCTGCAGAGGTTACTGCTGTCTTTTTGCTTGTCTGTGCCCTGCCCCCAGAGGTGGAGCCTACAGAGGCAGGCAGGCCTCCTTGAGCTGTGGTGGGCTCCACCCAGTTCGAGCTTCCTGGCTGCTTTGTTTACCTAAGCAAGCCTGGGCAATGGCGGGCGCCCCTCCCCCAGCCTCGCTGCCGCCTTGCAGTTTGATCTCAGACTGCTGTGCTAGCAATCAGTGAGACTCCGTGGGCGTAGGACCCTCTGAGCCAGGTGTGGGTTATAATCTTGTGGTGCGCCGTTTTTTAAGCCCATCGGAAAAGCGCAGTATTTGGGTGGGAGTGACCCAATTTTCCAGGTGCCGTCCGTCACCCCTTTCTTTGACTAGGAAAGGGAACTCCCTGACCCCTTGCGCTTCCCAAGTGAGGCAATGCCTCGTCCTGCTTTGGCTGGTGCACGGTGTGCGCACCGGCTGACCTGCGCCCACTGTCTGGCACTCCCTAGTGAGATGAACCCGGTACCTCAGATGGAAATGCAGAAATCACCCATCTTCTGCATTGTTTATTTAGAGACAGGGTCTCACTGTCACACAGGCTGGAGTGCAGAGACACCATCATAGCTCACTGCAGCCTCCAACTCCTGGACTCAAATGATCCTCCCCACTCAGCCTCCTGAGTAGCTGGGACTACAGCCACACATCACTACTTCTGGCTAATTTTTTAAAATTTAATTTTTGTACAGACAGGGTCTCACTATGTTCTCATGCCTCAGCCTCCCAAGAATCTGGGATTGCAGGTGTGTGCCACCATGCCTGGCTAAATTTTTTTCTGTGTGTGTATTTTTAGTAGAGACGGAGTTTTGCTATGTTGGCCAGGCTGGCCTCGAACTCATGACCTCAAGTGATCTGCCCACCCCGGCCTCCCAAAGAGCTGGGATTACAGGCATGAGCCACCCCACCTGGCCAAGCTTCAGGATTTTAAAGAATGGCATCACGGATTTCCACTGCCCCTTGACATAGCCCTATATTCACTTCTCATCCTCAACTCTCCAGCCCTCCGCTCTGTGAAGGCCAATCCTGGTGGTCTGCTGGGACTGAAGACTTTTCCCATCACGTGGCCGAGATGACCTAGAATGTAAAATTGCCAAACGTGCCCACAACCATCTCCATGGGATCTGCAGCTTGCCTGATAGCTGGCCTCCAGCAACTCCATGGAGGACCTGGGACTCCAGTTCCCACTAATATTCTGAATCTCTGCTGTATGCAGTGGTGCACGCCTATAATCCTCGCACTTTGGGAGGCTGAGGCAGGGGGATTCCTTGAGCGCAGGTATTCGAGGCTGCAGTGATCTGTGATCGCATCACTGCACTCCAGCCTGGGAGACCCTATTTCAAAAAAAAAAAAAAAAATCTGAGTCTGACTCTTGTGTGGAAAATGAACTCTGATCATCCTTTGACTTTTTAACTTCCTTCATCTTGTGAGTAGTTGTCTCTGCAACTGTCTTCCTTAATATCTGTCCTTAGCATCACTCACAAAGACACCCGCAAATGCCCTCTCTCCTTTCTACACCTCTAACTTTCACAAGTAGTTCCACCTGGAGGAAGCCCCATCTCCAGTTCTACAAATGATTCAAACTCTCTGCCTTTTGTGCAAATGAGCTGTATGCATTTCCCATGGCTGCCTTCACCAAGTATCATAGACTAGGTGAGCTCCACCTCAGAAACTTACTGTTCTTACAGTTCTGAGGCCAGAATAAGTCTGAGATCAAAGTGTCGGTGGGGTTGGTTCCTTCTGAAGGTTTGGCCCAGCACAGTAAGACCAAATATCTACTCCAAGGTTTGCAGCATAAGAAAGGAGGGCATGAATTTGTAGGGTGCCAAGCAAGGAGAATCATGCAGCTCACACTTAAGACCTGACCTCCTAGCTTGGCAAGGCAGCTCATGTCTATAATTCCAGCATTTGGAAGGCCAAGGTGGGTGGATCACTTGAGCCCAGGAGTTTAAGACTAGCCTGGGCAACATACTAAGACCCTATCTCTACAAATCATTAAAAAATTAGCCGAGCATGATGGTACACTCCTGTAGTACCAGGTCCTCAGTAGAGTGAAGCAGGAGGATCACTTGAGCCTGGGAGGTCAAGGCTGTGGTGAGCCGTGATGGTGCCACTGCACTCCAGCCTGGGCAACACAGCAAGACTCTGTCTCAAAAAAAAAAAAAAAACCCACTCTCCCCAGTGGATTACAGGTGAGGGTTTTTCAAGGTGGGAGCCAAAGGTTACAGGCAAAGTCATAAAGTAATTCATGAAGATTATAGAGTGGTTTGACCTAAAAAGGCAGAACATCTTGAAGCAAAGGGGACCCGCAGGACACAGGTAGATGCAAAGATCTCTGACTTGTGATAGGTTAAGGAAGGGAAATTTTGTTTAAAAGCTTGGAGTCAGCAGAAAAAACTATTAGCTCTGGTCTGTGGGCATAACTTCCTCCAGGTCCCTCAGGAAAGAATTTAGGACAAAGTACATTGGTAAGAGTTCAGTCCTCAGTTCCCCTTACCTGACAGCTATGCCAGCAGATCCGTTTGCTGGGGTCTGGGTTTCTAGAAAACAACTTGGGGAGGTATGCTAAAATTCCTTCCTTCCTTCCCTCCCTCCCTCACTCCCTGCTTCCTTCCTTCCTTCTTTCCTTCCCTCCTTCCCTTTCTCTCTTTCTCTCAACAGAGTCTCGCTCTTGTCCCCTAGGCTGGACTGCAACCACTGCCTCACAGGTTCAACCTCCTGCCTCAGCCCCCTAGGTCGGCCACCACGCCAGGTGTTGGATATAAAATGCTCTAGAAATAAATGCTCGGTGCCACAAAGTGAAACCAGCACTCAGGCAAAAGTTCTCTCAGCAAAGCAATTTAATTCTGCAGAAGGGTGCCACTCGCATCAATCAAGATCACAAGAGCACAGAGAACAAAGGATAAAAGAGAGGTTTTATCCTTAATGCAGTCCCTATCTCTGTGTCACTCCCCCATGGGTTGGGGTCTGACCGCACAATCTGAGCTGACCTGATTGGCTACTTGTACATAATATATATTCCTAAATATAGAAGGGGAGGGGAGTTTGAGGTACAAAGGTGCAGTGTGTGAGAAGTGCAGTTTCAGGGGATCAATGGGTACAGGTAACCAAGGGAACAGAGTGAGTTATTGATTAGAGCTGATGGGAAGCGGGTAGGCTGTTAACACTAACTAGGGGCAAGGACAAACAAGAAAGTTGAGTTTCAGAACAAAGAATAAGGAAGCTAACAGCCTAAACCTTTTGAAGAGAAACTTAGAAAGATTCATTGTATCTTTCACCTAGCTAATTTTTGTATTTCTAGTAGAGATGGGGTTTCACCATGTTGGCCAGGCTGGTCTCAAATTCCTGACCTCAAGTGATCCTCCAGCCTTGGCCTCCCAAAGTGCTGGGATTACAGACATGAGCCACCGCACCTGGCTGATGCCATCTTTAGTTGTTATAGAAAACCAAGTATCTCATGATTCTAGCTTCCTTGGCTTTTTTTTTTTTTTTTTTTTTTTGAGACATAGTTTCACTATTGTTGCCCAGGCTGGAGTACAATGGCATGATCTTGGCTCACTGCAATCTTTGCCTCCCAGGTTCAAGTGATTCTCCTGCCTCAGCCTCCAATGTAGCTGGGATTACAGGCATGCAATACCATGCCCAGCTAATTTTTTTGTATTATTAGTAGAGACAGATTTCACCATGTTGGCCAGGCTGGGTGTCAAAGTCCTGACCTCAGGTGATCTGCCTGCATTGGCCTCCCAAAATGCTTGGATTACATGCATCAGCCACCGTGCCTGCCTGGCTATTGTTTTAAGTTACTTTTACCGTTTTACTTACCAAGTTGCTCATTGATTTCTCATGGCTAGCTAGGTGCCTTTTCTTTGAAGGCACTCAAGACACTTTGAAGAGACAGAAAAATGGAATTTATTGGGCAAAAAGGGAAACTTTTCTTTGACGGAACTCAAGATTTTTCTTTATTTCCATGCTTTACGGGTCTCAGGTCCCTACAGAGGAAGTGCCTTCTCTGTCTCAGTGTTAGAGGCATTTGAACCAGAGCAACTCCATCTTGAGTAGCCACTGGGTAAAATAAGGCTGAGACCTACTGGGTGGCATTCCCAGGAGGTTAGGCATTCTTAGTCAAAGGATGAGACAGGAGGCCGGCACAAGATACAGGTTATAAAGACCTTGTGGATAAAACGGCATGCGGTAAAGAAGCCGGCCAAATCCCACCGAAACCAAGATGGTGACAAGAGTGACCTCTGGTCATCCTCATGGCTCATTATACGCTAATAATAATACATTAGCACACTAAAAGACACTCCCACCAGCAGCACGACAGTTGACAAATGCCATGGCAATGAGACAGTCAAGTATGAGAAACTCCGACCACTGTGCGGGCACTGGGAAAATGGGCTGGAGCCACGGAGTTCACACCCTTTGCAGCGGGGAGGAGCCTGGCCTCTTCTGTTTCAGGTGGAATCCGGGATTCAATCTGTGAGGGGCAGACCAGCTAGCAGGGACTCTCGCTTTGCTGAGGGTCCCCGTTTCTCTTTTTTTTCCTTTTTGCCCAATAAATTCCATTTTTCTCACTCTTCAAAATGTCTGCGAGCCTAATCATGGCCATGTGGCAAGAACCTGGCTTTTATCTGAACTAAGGAGAAAGTCCTGCAACAGCAATACCTGGAAGTTACCTTATATGGTCTAAAAAGGGGAGGAACCCTCAGTTCTGAGAATTGCCCATCCCTTTCCTGGAAATCTCATGGATAATCCACCCCTTGTTTAGCATATAATCAAGAAATAACTATAAGGACCTAGCTACTCAGGAGGCTGAGGTGGGAGAATCTCTTGAGCCTGGGAGGTGGAGGTTTTAATGACCTCAGATTATGCCACTGCACCCCAGCCTGGGCAACACAGCAAGACCCTGTCTCAAAAATAAATAAATAAATAAAAATAAAAATACACAGGTGCTTAAGCCAGGCATGGTGGCTCACACCTGTAATTCCAGCACTTTGGGAGGCTAAGGTGGGCAGATCACCTGAGGTCAGGAGTTCGAGACCAGCCTGGCCAACATGGTAAAACCTCATATCTACTAAAAATACAAAAATTTGCCAGGCATGGTGGCAGGCTCCTGTAGTCCCAGCTACTCAGGAGGCTGAGGCAGGAGAATCGCTTGAACCCAGGAGGCAGTGGTGCAATGAGCTAAGATCCTGCCACTGCACTCCAGCCTGGGCAACAGAGTGAGAATGCACCTCAAAAAAATCATAATAATAAATAAGAAATAACTATAAGTATACTCGGTCAAGCAGCCCACACCACTGCTCTGTCTATGAAGTAGCCATTCTTTATTCTTTTACTTTATTAATAAACTTGATTTCACTTTACTCTGTGGATTTGCCCAGAATTATTTCTTGTGCAAGATCCAAAAACCCTTTCTTGGGTTTTGGATCAGTACCCCTTTCTGGTAACAACAGGCTCCAGGACAGAATGTATTCTATGCCTCTCTCTGAGCCTCTGGTGGTTGCTGGAGAGCCTTGGAGTTACTTGTAGCTGTGTCACTGCAATTTCTGCCTACATCACATGGTGTTCTGCGTGTGTGTGTGTGTGTGTGTGTGTGTGTGTGTGTGTGTGTGTGTGTCTGGGTCCAATTTTCCTCTTTTTATAAAAATACCAGTCATTTTGAATTATAGCCTACCATCATGCCTCACTCACCTTAACTAATTACGGCTTCTGTGTCTCTTACCAAATAAGATCACATTCTCACATCCTAGCAGCAAGGGTCTTTGAACCAGAGCAACTCCATCTTGAATAAGGGCTGGGTAAAATAAGGCTGAAGCCTACAGGGCTGCATTCCCAGGAGGTTAGGCATTCTAAGACACAGGATGAAATCGGAGGTCAGCAAAAGACATGGGTCATAAAGAACCTTGCTGACAAAATAAGTTGCAGTAAGTAAGCCAAAACCCACCAAAACCAAGATGGCCATGAAAGTGACCTCTAGTAGTCCTCTGTGGTACACTCTCACCAGTGTCATGACAGTTTACAAATGCCATGGCAATGGCCCTAACCCTAACCCTAACCCTAGCCCTAATCCTAATCCTAAACTGAAAAAGCGAGGAACCTCAGTTCCCAGAATTGCCCAGTCCTTTTCTGGAAAACCCATGAATCATCCACCCCTTGTTTAGCATATAGTCAAGAAATAACAATAAAAATGGGCAACCAGCAGCCCATGCTGCTGCTCTGTCTATGGAGTAGCCATTCTTTTATTTCTTTACTTTGTTGATAAACTTGCTTTCACTTTATGGACTCACCCCGAATTTTTTCTTGTACAAGATCCAAGAGCATGCTCTTGGCATCTGGATCTGGACCCCTTTCTGGTAATCCTAGGAATTACAACTTTAACATATGCATTTGCGGGAGCAGGACAGGATTCAGCTGGTAACACGAGCTTAATATATACAGCCTTGACACTCAAACAAAGACAGTGTTGGGGACTCATAACAAAGCACGTTTCAGGAACCCTTTCCATGGTAAAAGCGTTCCAAACTGAAACCCAAAGCAACTGCATGGATAGACCTAATTTGGCAGGCTTTACTCTTGCTGCAAAATAGAATCACCCGGGGAGCTCAATAAGAAGATAAAGACTAAACTCTGGGTTAAATTAATAAGAGATATCAGTTCCATCTTTGTTTTTGAGACAGAGTCTCGCTCTTTTGCCAGGCTGGAGTACAGTGGCAGTATCTCAGTTCACTGCAATCTGTACCTCCTGGATTCAAGCGATTTCTCATGCCTCAGCCTTCCAAGGAGGTGGTATTACAGATGTGCACCACCACACCCAGCTAATTTTTGTAGTTTAAGTAGAGACGGGTTTTTGGCATGCTGGCCAGACTGGTCTCGAACATCTGACCTAAAGTCATCTGCTCTCCTTGGCCTTCCAAAGTGGTGGGAATACAGGCATAAGCCACCATGCCCTCCATTTGATTTTATTAAATCAAAGAAGGGCTATTCATTGTGTCTGCTAATTCCATATTTATACCACTTGCCTCATTTACTCTTGTCTTAGGGCCAGGTGGAGTAACTCATGCCTATAATCTTAACACTTGTGGTGGGAGAATTGCTTGAGCCCGAGAATTCAAATCCAGCCTGGGCAACACAGCGAGATTCCAATCCTAAAAAAAAAATTTGTTTTTAACTAGCCAGGTGCAGTAGTGAGTGCCGGTAGTCCTAGTTACTTAGGAGGCTGAGCCCTGGCAGTTAAGGCTGAGCCATGATCAGCACCACTTTACTCCAGCCTGGGCAACAGAGTGAGACCTTATCTCTTAAAAAACAAATGTTAAATTACTCTTGTTTTAATAAAAGTTGACTTATGTAGTACAGATGCTAATTATACATTGTTTCAACATTTTGAGTTATTTTATTAACATTATCCACATAATAACCACAATCAGTTTTGAATGTGTAAGCCTTATTTTTTTCTTTTCAAACTATGCTTACATGGGATATTAATTTAATGCAGATAGCAATGTTGTTTTATTCATAGCATTTGGGGATGCTTCTCAATTGGCTTTATGTCAGTATGTTGAAAGAATTTTCAGATCAATAAAAATCAGATGAGTTAGAGAGGTCCTAAATTCTTCGAACAGCATCTCTCCAAGATAAGAAATGGCATGAGTAATAATAGTAAGAGCCACTGATGTTCACTGAACCTCAGCACCCAGCTGGGTGGAACTGGACAAACTACTCACAATCAGGTCTGGTTGTTCTGACAAGATCAGAGGCCCACGCAGTGAACATTGTTTCTCTTCTCACTGCGATATTCCTTGCTCAGTTAAAGCACATGCAAGCGCACACTCATGAAAGAATATTGATGTGACACTAAATGCTAAGGGGTGAATCAGCTCAAATATCTTTATACATTAAGCAAAACAATTCAGCAGCATGGTCTACATTTTTTTTTAAATCTATTGAGAGGTTGTAATGCCCAACCTGGTTTTTACTAACACCGTTTTTAGACTCTCCCTTTACTTTACTCACCTAGCCTTGTTTCCACCTGAAAGGACTCTCGCTAGCTAAGAGAAGCAGACAGACTCCATCTCGGCTCTTTCACTGGCAGCCCCTTCCTCAAGGACTTAACTTGTGCAAGCTGACTCCCAGCACATCCAAGAATGCAATTAACCGATAAGATACTGTGGCAAGCTATATCCACAGTTTCCAGGAATTAATCTGATTGATAACGCCCAAAGCCCCGTGTCTATCACCTTATAATAGTCTTAAAGCCCCTGCACCTGTTTACTTCCCTGTAACCATTTATCCTTTTAACTTTTTGCCTACTTTACTTCCGTAAAATTGTTTTAACTAGACCCCCCCCCCCCCCACCGCCTTCCTAAACCAAAGTATAAAAGAAAATCTAGCCCCTTCTTTGGGGCCGAGAGAATTTTGAGCGTTAGCCATGTCTTGGCCTCCGGCTAAATAAACGGACTCTTAATTGGTCTCAAAGTGTGGCATTTTCTCTTAACTCGCTCAGGTACAACAAGGTGAACCCAAATGACCTCTATTTTTGGTTCGAACCCAGATGCCACAGTGGATTGCAGGAGTGTGCTTGGTTCTAATATTTTGTCCATCTCGGGGTTTTTTGTCCAACTTGGGGTTCTTCTTTGGGCCGCGGGGATCCCTTCCACTGCCAGTACTGTTGTTGATGGCACTTTAGGAACCGTGCAGAGCCGCTCAGGAGCCATGTTCCCCAGCTGCCCGACGCTTCGTGGGGGGCTGAGGCAGCCGCAGCGGGGCGCGCTCACGCCTGGTGCCCAGGCTGCGGCCCCATTCCATACCCATCGCCATGGCGGCTGCCTCCCCGCGGGGCGGGGCTCGGGTCCTGCCGCCGGCGAAGCACCAGCGCCCAGTGGACTCCGGCGCAGCCCGAGCACGCCCCGCCCCTCCCCGCCCCCACCGACAGGCTCCGCCTCCTGCTCAGCGGCGCCCTTTCCGTAGACCACATGAGGGCTGAGAAGTGCAGGTTCGCAGAGGCTCGGGACTGACGGGCAGCCAGTGCCACTAATCGGCACTCTGTGTCTAGCTAAAGGTTTGTAAAGGCACCAATCAGCGCTCTGTGTCTACCTAATCTGGTAGGGACTTGGAGAACTTTTGTGTGTAGCTAAAGGATTGTAAATGTACCAATCAGCACTCTGTGTCTATAGCTCAAGGTTTGTAAATGCACCAATCAGCGCTCTGTGTCTAGCTAATCTAGAGGGGACTTGGATAACTTTTGTATCTAGCTAAAGGATTGCAAATGCACCAATCAGCACTCTGTCTAGCTCAAGGTTTGTAAAGGCACCAGTCAGCACCCTGTCAAAACTGACTGATCAGCTCTCTGTAAAATGGGCCATTCAGCTCTCTGTAAAATGGACCAATCAGGAGGATGTGGGTGGGGTCAGATAAGGGAATAAAAGCAGGCTGCCTCAGCAAGCAGGGGCAACCAGCTGGAGTGCCCTTCCAATGTGTGGAGGCTTTGTTCTTTTGCTCTTGGTAATGAATCTTGCTGCTGCTCACTCTTTGGGTCCCTGCGGCCTTTATGAGCTGTAACACTCATTGCGAAGGTCTGCAGCTTCACTCCTGAAGTCAATGAGACCACGAACCCACCAGAAGGAAGAAACCTGGGTCACATTTGAACATCTGAAGGAACAGACTCCAGACACACCATCTTTAAGAACTGTAATAGTCACCGCGAGGGTCCGTGGCTTCATTCTTGAAGTCAGTGAGACCAAGAACCCACAAATTCTGGATGCACTATCACTGGGCACAGTGGCTCACACCTGTTATCCCAGCACTTTGGGTGTCCGAGGTGGGTGGATCACCTGAGGTCAGAAGTTCGAGATTGACCTAATGTGGTGAAATCCCGTCTCTACTAAAATTAAAAAATTAGCTGGTGGCGTGCGCCTGTAATCCTAGCTGCTCAGGAGGCTGAGGCAGGAGAATCGCTTGAACCCAGGAGGTAGAGGTTTCAGTGAACTGAGATCAACACCCCTGCACTCCAGCCTGGGCGACAGAGTGAGACTCCGTCTCAAACAACAACAACAACAACAACAACAACAACAACAAAAAATCTCGTCTAGCTTTCACCTAATGAACTGTTTATTTATGCAAAGTAATTTCCTCATTGAAGCAAGATTACTCTGGAGGAATTGTTACATTAGAAAGAAGATTTTTGCAGTTTAGAAGCTGCTACTTCTGGCAAAAAGCTGTGTTTGCTGATACCTTCCCCAAGAAACTAAGATATTCTTAGTTATTCGGGTAACATTTTAAAGATTTATTGAAATGAGCTTAAGAAGGCTTTAGAGAAATGAAGCCTACTGTTTGTCTTCCTGGATTTGTCTAAGAACGAGTTGCAAATGCCAGCAATCCCATCTGTAAAATTGTTACAATGGTACCTAAACATGTGCAAACAAAAATAGGTGAAAATGCTTTAGATTTAACAGAACTTTTACAACTTAAAAAAACACCCACAAAAACAGCATTCTTTTTTCTTCACTGTGGTTTCAACAATGGATTTCTTGCTATACTATTTTCCATGCAAACATAATTTCACTTTCTCTCAGTGGAGTCTCCTTCCTGGGGTAAATAGTCAAGTTTGAGACAAGCTTCATAAAACATGCTGGTTTGTGGTCTCTAGCCTTGTAGATTACAGAATGTTACAAAATTCACATCTTCTTGCAAAATTTACAGCTCTGAAAATAATATTGGGTGCTTTTTCAGGAACAAGAATTACTGCATCTTTCACCCCCGTAATAATTTATATACAGCAGCCAGGAGCAGTGGCTCACACCTGTAATCCCAACAATTTGGGAGGCCAAGGTGGGTGAATCACCTGAGGTCAGGAGTTTTAAGACCAGCCTGGCCAAAATGGTGAAACCCCTGTCTCTACTAAAAATACAAAAAATTAGGAAGGTGTGTTGGTGCCTGCCTCTAATCCCAGCTGCTCAGCAAGCTGAGGCTGGGGAATCACTTGAACCCAGGAGACAGAGGTTGCGTTGAGCCGAGATTGCACCATTGCTCTCCAGCCTATATAAAAACTATATATGGCTCTATTTACCTTTTAATTGGTCTCTTTTATTTCTCTATTTATTTTTATTTTTTAGAGATTAGGTATTGCTGTGTTGCCAAGGCTGGAGTGCAGTGGTGCCATCATAGCTCACTGCAACCTCGAACTCTTGGGCTCAAGCAATACTTCCACCTTAGCCTCCCTGTTAGCTGTGACTACAGGCACACCATCATGCCAGCTAATTTTTCTATTTTTTGTAGAGATGGAGTCTTGTTATGTTGCCCAGTCCGGTCTTGAACTGCTGGCTTCAGGCAATTCTCCCTCTTAAAGTGCTGGGACTATAGGTTCGTGCCCCCATGCCTGGCTAATTTGATCTTTAAAAACTTGTTTTTCTCCCAAAGATCTGTACAAAGCCCATCAGTAAGAATGTAGCTCATTTATAACAGGCATGAGTCTCTCAGAAGGAAAAGCTTGCAATTTGTCAACTCTCTTATTTTTCTTTCAGAATAGAAGTCAATCCAGCTCTCATCACAGTTAATGAAAAATGTCAGGCCAGGTGTGGTGGCTCACACCTATAGTCCCAGCACTTTGGGAGGCCGAGGCCAGTGGATCACCTGAGGTCAGGAGTTCGAGACCAGTCCGGCCAACATGGTAAAACCCCCTCTCTACTAAAAATATAAAAATTAGCTGGGCGTGGTGGTGTGCACCTGCAATCCCAGCTACCCAGGAGGCTGAGGCAGGAGAACTGCTTGAACCCAGGAGGCTGAGGTTTGCAGTGAGCCAAGATTGTGCCACTGCTCTCCAGCCTGGGTGACAGAGCAAGACTCTGTCTCAAAAAAAAAAAAAGAAAAATATAAGTACCCTTACCCTCCATGGAAAGACAAAAGGCAACGTTTATACTATTAAATTATTATTCATTAGCGCAGAAAGAAATTGAGCTTATTAACCAAATAATTTTGTCCTGTCCTTTTCTTGATTCTATTTTCAGCAATTTTATTTATTAATTATTATTATTATTTTTGAGACAGAGTCTCACTCTGTCCCCCAGGCTGGAGTGCAGCAGCATGATCTCAGCTCACTGCAACCTCTGCCTCCTGGGTTCAAGCAATTCTCATGCCTCAGCCTCCCAAATAGCTGGGGTTACAGGCACCTGACACCATGTCCAGCTCATTTTCGTATTTTTAGTAGAGATGGAGCTTTGCCATGTTGAACAGGCTGGTCTTGAACTCCTGACCTCAAATTATCCACCCACTTCAGCCTCCCAAAGTGCTGGGATTATAGGAATGAGCCAGCATGCCCAGCCCTTGTTTTAATTTTTAACTTAATTTTTTTTTTTTTTTTTTTTTTGAGAAACGGTCTTGCTCTGCCACCCAGGCTGGAGTGCGGCACTGTGGTCATAGCTCATTGCGATCCTCCCAAGCTCAAGTGATCCTCCTACATCTGCCTCCCAAACAGCTGGGACTACAGACATGTGCCACCATGCCTGGTTAATTTTCAAGTTTTTATAGTAACAGGGTCTTGCCATATTGCCCAGACTGTTCTTGAACTTCTGGACTGAAGCAATCTTCCCACCTCAACCTCCTAAAGTTTTAGGATTACAAGAGTGAGCCACCTTGCCTGGCCTCAGCAATGTTTACTGTAATTTTCCCAAGCTTTCGTGGTAAGCAGCTGAAGAGAGGGATGACTAGGTATGGAAAAACACAGCCCCCTCTGGTCCTATAAACCTATCCCAAGTATCCCAAGTAGGGCCGGCCCTCAAACCTATACCACAGACACTCAGAATAACAAATGGACCACCATGGGAACCCCAAGCCCTGCAGCCACCCAACAATGCCCCTGAGAAAATAACTGGCTCCCTTTTTCATGACCAATTTCAACTAGCACAGAGGAGTCAGCTGCTGTCTTTGTAAACTGGGTGTAGGTCCTATTGTTGGATGCAGAGGCAGTCTAGAAAAGACTTTGAGCACAAGAAAATTGGTAGCAACAGCTCCAGGTGAGGTCACAGTTTGGAGGCAGACATCCTGTGGCAAGTTCATGCCCTATCTTGGGTACAGTGCATTCCAGAGCCTTCCTGCAGCAGTAGCAGCAGCCTAGAATGTGATACTGAGACCTAGGTAGGTCCCTGGCCCAACCTCTTCATTGAACAAAGAGAAATTCAAGGTTTTGTTCCTGGAAGGACCTGCCAAAAAAAAAAAAAAGAGACAGAGAAAAAGAAAGAAAAGAAAAAAATGCAAGCTGCAAAATTGCTAAAGCTACAATAATTGTAAAAAAATTTTTATTTTGCTATAGACCAGGTCTCACCAGAGACTGGAGACCCTAGGTGGGTCTCTGTCTCCTGGTCTCAAACCTCTTACGTGAGCCTCCCAAAGTGCTGGGATTATAGGCATGAGCCATCATGCCTAGGTGAAAACAAATTTTTTGAATGTTTTCAATGTGCAAATAATCGATTATGTGCTTCTGAAGTGACAGAAGGAAATGGAAGGTCTACAGATGCATAACCAGAAAAAGACATGCTGCTTGTTGACAATAGTGTTGCCAGCAGTATCAGTACTTAAAACATTTTTATATTTTATTTATTTATTTTGATTGACAAATAGTAAGTGTACATATTCATGGTGTATATGTTTTGATACATATAATGTATAGTGATCAGATCAGGGTAATTACCATATCCATCATCTCAAACATTTATTCCTTCTTTGTTCTAGGAAGATTTGATATCCTCCTTCTAGACAGTTGAGACTACATAATACATATATCTAACATATATATATGCAAACACATTCACACACACATTTATATGTATATATGTATGTGTATATGTGTGTGTGTGTGTGTGTGTGTGTGTGTGTTTTTGAGACAGGGTCTCATTCTGTCTCCCAGGCTGGAGTGCAGTGGCACACTCTCGGCTCACTGCAAACTCTACCTCCTGGGTTTAACTGATCCTCCCATCTCAGCCTCCCAAGTAGCTGGGACTACAGGCTCGTGCCACCACGCCTGGCTTATTTTTCTATTTTTAGTAGACACGGGTTTTCACCATGTTGGCCAGGCTGGTCTGGAACTCCTGACCTCAAGTGATCCACCTACCTTGGCCTCTTAAAGTGCTGGGATTATGGGAGTGAGCCATGGAGCTTGGCCCATATATATATATATACACACACACACACACACGCGCACACACATATATACACATAAATACGCGCACGTGCGCACGCGCACACACACACACGCATATATATATATAAATTTTTTTTGAGACAGGGTCTCTGTCACCCAGGCTGGAGTGCAGTGGTGCCATCACAGCTCAATGCAGCCTCAACTTGCCAGACTCAAGGAATCCTCCCACCTCAGCTTCTCGAGTAGCTGATAATACAGACACAAGCCATCATGCCCAACTAATTTCGTATTTTTTGTAAAGACGGGGTTTCACCATATTCCCCAGACTGGTCGGAAACTCCTGGCCTCAAGTGATCCTCCTACCTTGGCCTCCCAAAATGTTGGGATTACAAGTGTAAGCCATTTCGCTGGCCTATAATATATCATTTTTAACTATAGTTATTCTGTAGTGCTATAGAACTCTAGAATGTATTCCTTCTATTTAGCTGTAACTTTCTTAGAGAAGGTGGCATGAAAATGATATCACCGTAATCCCCAAGAACCAACAAGGAATGAGGTTTCAAACAGAGTCGCAGGGGATCTCTAGAGGAAAAGTGTCAGGGGCAGAATTTACTAACTGTTGCTGTCCAAGAGTATAGTCTCTGCCCACCTGGTTCTCTGCCATCATGGAGAACCATTATATTTGCAGTAGTAATTATGGTTTTATCAGATGAGGAAATGGGTTTCCTTCAAGAGGCAGGTGTGAAATAATAGGTTGGCGCAAAAGTAATCACTGTTTTTCCCATTACTTTATTTTTATTTTTAAATTTTGTGTGTGTCTGTGTGTGTGTGTGTGAGATGGAGTCTCACTCTGTCACCTCGACTGGAGTGCAGTGGCTCGATCTCGACTCGCTGCAACCTCCCAGGTTCAAGCGATTCTCCTGCTTCAGCATCTGGAGTAGCTGGGATTACAGGTATGCACCACGACACCTGGCTGATTTTTGTATTTTTAATAGAGACAGGGTTTTTCTATGTTTGAACGTTACAGGTAACGTTTTACTCAAAGAATAATATTAATGATGAGTATTGAAGCAAGTCAATAAGCAAGATGACTTAAGAGTGAATTCATCATGCAACAGCTCATGCCTATAATCTCAGCACTTTGGGAGGCTGAGGTGGGAGGATCGCTTGAGCCTAGGAGTTTGTGAGACATGCCTGGGCAACATATAAAGACCCCATCTCTAAAAAAAAAAAGATTTAATTAGCTGGATGTGGTGGCACTTGCCTATAATCCCAGAGATTTGGGAAACTGAGATGGGAGGATCACTTGAGGCCAGGCGTTTGAGATCAGCCTGGGCAACATAGTGAGACCCCATCTCCATTTAAAAAGAAACGGAGAGTAAGATAACCATGGACACCCACTGTGTTCTGTAATATGTTAATGAGGTTTCCTTTAAATGTTTAGATCCCTATAATGTCAATGTGGGAAAGCAAAGAAGTGTGTGAAAACTCTTAACAAACTCTCCTGTATCCTATAAAACACTGGCCTTGTTATTTGGAATTCACTTGAGTCAGATCCTTTTTTATTTATTTATTATTTGGAAGAGATGGAGTCTTTTTCTGTCACCCAGGCTAAAGGGCAGTGGTGTGATCATGGCCCACTGCAGCCTCAAACTCCTAGGCTCAAGTGACTTTGCCACCTTGACCTCCCAAGTATGTTGAGATTACAGGTGCACGCCACCATGTCTCTGCCACGCTGGTGTGCAACAGCATGATTGTGGTTCACGGCAATGTCTGCTTCACAGGTTCAAGCAATTCTCCTGCCTCAGCCTCCCTAGTAGCTGGCATTACAGGTGCCTGCCACTATGCCTAGCTAATTTTTGTATTTTTAATAGAGATGGGATTTCACCATGTTGGCCAGGCAGGTCTGGAACTCCTGACCTCAGGTGATCCACCTACCTTGGCCTCCCAAAGTGCTGGGATTACAGGTGTGAGCCACTGCGCCCAGAAAAGAAGATGTTACACACACACACACACACACACACCACATGGAATACTAGGCAGCTGCAAAAAAAATGAAATATCTTTTGCAGCAACATGGATGGAAGTAGAGGCCATTATCTTAAGCAAAATTACTCAGAAACAGAAAATCTGCACTTGTACCTCCTCAATATATAAAAAGAAAAAATAAAAGATAAAAATAGAACAAAAATTTTATCTTAGCATATATAGAAATATATATATCATCTATGCAAAATATATATCATATATGATATATCCATACTTATGTACGCATGCATTAACGCAAATGTATTATATTTAACTCAGTATAGATATGTAATGGATATTATATATTATATATACATTATATATACACACATATACACACAAACACCGACGTACGGTACGCATGCTTAAAGAATGTTCAGCTCCCCTCACAGATGGTATGAATTTTTTTTTTTTTTTTTGAGTCCAGGTCTCATTCTGTTGCCCAGGCTGGAGGGCAGTGGCACAGTCACAGCTCATTGCAGCCTTGACCTCCTGGGCTCATGGCATGTTTGTGCCTTCGCCTCTGATTGTGCTGCGATTATAGGTGTGCACCACCACACCTGACTAGTTGTTAAATGATTTTTTTTTGGTAGAGATGGGGGCTGGGGGTGGGGGGGGTGGCGCTGGGGGGCTTCCGATGCTGCCCAGGCTGGTCTCGAATCCCCGCACCTCCCAAAGTGCTAAGATCACAGGTGTGAGTCACTGCGCTCGGCCAGATTGTACAATTTTGATTCCTCTCATATTTAACAACACCTGTACCTATCATGGTATTAAATTTATAGCTCATTCTGGTTTAGGGTCAGGGACTTATTTCTTTGGAATGGCAGAGTTCAGCATTTCCTGACCCCCCTGCAAAATAATGCCACTTCATTAAGGCGATAATGACTCTTCCATGTCTAACTCATAGGCACTTTCCTTTTTTGTCTCTCAAGTAATAGGCTGTGGTTTCTCAAGGATTTTTATGCTGTGGTTTCTGAAGGATTTTTGTGATCCTTTCAAAGCAGCTTTTGTCAAGCAAGGTGTTGTGAAATGTGCAGGGTCTGTTTATAAGAAGAGGTAGGTATGTGGTCAAGTTCAGGGTGGGTTCGGTGGAATCAGACCAACCAGCAGCCCAAGCAGAGTGTTAACGCTGCAAATCTGTGCCACGTTCTTCTTCCTGCGTGCAATTTGCAGGCAAAGACATATGCTTAATTGGGTGTGAAACCCGGGCCTTGATTAAAAGGACTTTATGAGGCCGCAGCCTTACATTTCCAAGGTCAGGCCCTAGTGGAGAGGGCGCGCGTTCCGCGGGGAGACACGAACTTTTCCTGAGTGCGCGTTCCTTGCTGGTCCTGAACCCCTCGGCCAGGCAGGGCTTGGCAGGGCCGTTTCCTGTCCTAACCAGGATCAAGGGATTGCGCGGCTTGCTGGTGAAGCTTGGCAGGGCCGTGACCTGTCCTAACCAGGCTCAGGGGATGGCGGGGGCCTGCTGGTGTCGCATATGTTTTGCATTCCAGCTCAGGATTTTGCAGCGCATAGAGAGCGGGCGTCACCACTAGGGGGATATGCTACCCACAAAATGCAGGTGGAGGCTGGGCGAGGCTAGCAGCCAGGGGCCAGAAATCCAAAGCCTGAGCCAGGTTCAGACTTCCTGACTCCCACTCCCGGTTAGCTGTGCAAGGATGGCTCGGCCTGGTCCCCCTAAAAATGTGTCCGTTCTAACTTAGAGGCCGCTTTGGCTCTCAGAAAGCCCCCCTGACCTGAGGACTGAGGGACTGGAGACCGCTTTCAGTCGCAGAATCGCTGAGATCCCTCAAAACAAAGGCGTTTCCAGTTTGACCCCTTGCTGCTCAATGTGTGGTTGGCCAACCGACAGCCTGGGGCGCCCTGGTTGCGGGTCAGGGGAGCAGCGTCTAGGCCGTGCCAGGCCCGCAAGTTAAGCACTGTCTGCATTTCCCTGGGGAAAGGGGTGACCAAATATCTAGCTATATTTGCATTTCAAATCCACACGGATAAGAGTTTTAAATATAAGTATGTCCAACTATTGCCTAAGCCACACTTACGCTAGGAAAAAAAAAATCTTTGCGTTTCTGAAATTGAAATGTGTCTGCACAGTTCTTTATCAGGTTGTCGCCGGGGTGTTTAAACAGTGACCAATCAAGTTTCACACGCTACATTTGGTCGGGCGACCTCTCAAATCTGTCTTTCCCTAGTTCTTTAAATAAATGTTTATTTGGAAAGAATTCTAGATCCACAGGAAGCTGCAAACAAACGCACAGAGTCAAGCCCACCCTTTCTCCCCCTTTCCAAGTAAAAATGTGGAATCACCAGTCCTACGACGAAACCAGGGCGCTGACCTTGTTCCCCAGACCCGGCAGCCCCTCTTGGGGATCCGCGCGCAGCGCGCGTCCTGAGTAGCCAGGCTAATTCCAGCCCCTCTCCTCACCAAACGCCAATTTCACTTTCTATTTTTGAGCTTCACTTTTGCTGAGCCACGCCCTCCCTGTCCCCGGGCCACCCAGCCTCCCCATCTTCCGGGTTTGGGTGCAGCAACGCGGGTGGCCCGCCAGTGCGACTCCGGGGAGAAGTCATCCTGGGTCCCACCCCGGGGGCGCCCCGGGCGCGGAGGGGGCGTGGGCACCTCCCCAGCGCCGCCCCTGCCCTTGGTGACTGGAGTCGCCTGCACGCCCGGGTCTCCGACTCCTCGGCTGGGTCGCCGCCCGGGCGGAGCCCACGCGAAGGCGACGCCCCCCAAAGCCCCGCGGCCGGGTGGGGGCGGGGAGAGGCGTAGTCACGCCCAGGCTGCTTCCGCCCGCCCCAACAGCGCGCACGCGGCCACCGAGCTGGAGGAGGCGGCGGGCGTGAGACCGGGAATGCTTGGGGCCCCCGCCTTCCTCGCAGCCATCCAGCACTCGGTGCACGCCCCGCGAGGCCAGCGGCTGCTCCCTCCCGGGGCTATTGCTGCTAGTGCCGTGAGCACCGCCCAGCCATTGTCTCTGTGTCTCCGTCAGCCGTGCCGAGCCGCGCACCCAGAGGCGAGGGCGCGCATGGGGAGCCTCCGTTGATGCTGCCGCGGCTGCCGCGCCGCCCTCCGAGGCTGCGTCCCGGGGAGTCCGGCTTCCCGAGCGCTCCGGCCTGGCCCGGCGCCCCGGACCTGAGTGCCTCCCCATGGAGGCGCCCGGGCCGGCCCAGGCGGCCGCGGCGGAGAGCAACTCCCGAGAGGTGACGGAGGATGCCGCCGACTGGGCGCCCGCGCTCTGCCCCAGCCCCGAGGCGCGGTCGCCGGAGGCGCCTGCCTACCGCCTGCAGGACTGCGACGCGCTGGTCACCATGGGTGAGTGAGTGCGCGCGGGAACTCGGCCCACAGGGGCTCGCGGCGCGGCCGGGACCCCGTAGTAGGACAAAGGGCCCCGGGTGCCCGCTTCCTGGGGAGGGCCCTGCAGCGGGATCCCCGCGCGGGGCTGCCCTTGCGCCCTGGGTCTCCCCGGGGGCCTCTCGGAGAACTGGAGCGCACCCTCCAGCCCCGGCGAGTCCCCCGGACTGGCTGGGGGCCTTCCCTGGAACGCCGAGGGCTCCTCTGGAAGACCACTCTGTATCCCCAGAACACACAGCACTCTGGGGCCTGGGCCGTCCGACGTCACAAAACTTCCTGTAGGACATCTCGCCTAGAGTACCTCGTGCGCTCTCCCAGGCAGCGGCCCCAGGGACACGGGCGCGGGGTCCCTCAGGCCAGCCTCCCCGTGTGCCCAGCGGCAGGGTCCTTGGCGGGGAATGTACAGATTTCTCCATGGGCTGCAGGAGCAGCTGGGCTCCGGGGGACAGTTGTTCGTGGCTTTGTGGGGATGAAGACGGCGGAGTTGGGGACGGATCCTAACATGTCCTGACACCGCCTGTGCTCTTCGTCTTGTGCGTCTGAAATGGGTAATTCTTGTATTGGACGCTTTATCCGTTTCCTTTGTCGTCTGTCTTTGAACTTAACCTCGAATGGGCAGCTTGACAGAGGTTTCGAGTTCACAGTGCGTTTGGATCCGGACACGCGCTGGTTTATGGGGGCAGCCCAGAGTGGGTCAGAATATCCCAGCGGCATGTGGGCGCTGGATTTAAACAGTTGTCACCGGCCCGCCTGTGCTTCTTAGGGACTCTGTATGGCTAAGTGGGGTGTTGGTTGTCAAGAAAATAAATGGGAGAGCGGAGGGGGGTGTCTTGGGTGTGTTGGTGGGGCGGGGGCTCTCAAACCCTCTTAACTCCTGTTTGTCCTCTCATTTTGGAAAGGAGGAAGCTGGGCTGGGAAGCCCAAGGGCTTAAGGTCACACCTTAGGGCTTAGGAAGACCAGCGGGCATAGCCAGAGGGCCTTCAGAACCGCTGAGGAAGAGAGGACTTAGCTTCCTTCAGTGACCTCTTTGCCACTTAGACCTTGAGGGAAGGGCCCACGAGGAAAGCCTGAGTTTGGAAGGACAGTGTGGGACGAGGCCCTCTTTGTTTCTGCGCTCCCTCCCTCCTCCTATCTCATTCTCTCTTTCTCTGTTTCTCTTTCTGTGACCCTGTTCGTGTATCTGCATTTCTTCTCCTCTGTCTCTCTCAGTCTTTCTGTCTGTTCCCTTACTGTCTTGGTCTCTCTGTCTCCCTGCCTTCTCTCTGCTTTCCCTCTTCTTCTGGTCCCCCATGGAAAGCTGTCCTGGTCTAATCTTAGAGCTGGGTGTGTTTTGCGGGGAAGAAGGGTGGGGCAGGAACCCTGACTGGTTCAGCCGCCACAGTAGGTGGAAATACAGCTCGGCAGTGGAAAATTGATGAGGTCCAGCCGTTCCTTGGCACTCAGCACCAGAGTTTGTCATTCTTTGGGGCACCCACATGGGTCCGTTGGGAAACGTGGAGCTGGGGCTGGAGGCCGGGGCAGAGAGCAGGATGCGGGCAGGAGGGCGGCAGAGGTGAGGAGCTCTCGTGTGACAGGGGGCCACTCAGTTTGACATCAAGTCAGCTTAGGGTACCAAGCGGGTAACCTCATTTTTAAAAATAGATTGTCGTTGTCTCTAGGGACCAAGCTGGCTGGGCAGGGAGGTCAGCTTTTTTTTTCAGTCCAGTCAGTGCTCTCTTAATGAGGATGATGCTGCTTTCTCAAGGATAACTTCCTGTGAGCTCCAACGATGTGACAGGAGAGCTAGGTATCCTACACTAATTGGGCAACAGGAGACCAGGACCCAGGGTGTGTGTGTGTGTGTGTGTGTGTGTGTGTCTGGAACACTCTCTCATGACAACTTCACAGCTTTGGTGACATTATCTGCAGCATTTTATCCAAGCCCCTTTCTTTGTTGTTGGTTAAAGAGCAATGTGACTGTGATTCACCTAAAAGTAGTAGAATAAATTCTAAAAAACCCAAGGGTTTTAGAGTCTTCACGATTGTCTCTCTGAGCCACAATTTACAGCAGCTTTGGACTCTTTTACAAGGCGTGATGGAGAAGAGTGAGGGGCGAGCTTGAGTCTCAGTCTGGAGTTGAAACCCAGTCTGTGTGGGTGTGACCCCTCTTCATCCTAAACTGTCACCGCTGGAACATAAGTTTGCCTTTAAGCGCTCTTTCCCCCTCCTTCCTAATTCTCTCAGGCCCCAAACAAGCATCCCCAGAAGTACTGAACTTTTTGGGGGGTGGGTGGAGGGGATCTGTATGCAGATTTCCAGTTGAGCAATCCTCTTTTCTATGACTTAAAGCCAATCACAGGCTGGACGTGGTGGCTCATGCTGGTAGTCCCAGCACTTTGGGATGCCGAGGCAGGCGGATCACTTGCGCTCAGGAGTTCGAGACCAGCCTGGTCAACGTGGCAAAACCCCATCTCTACTGAAAAAATACAAAAATTAGCCAGGCGTGGTGGCAGGCGCTTGTAATCCCAGCTTCTCAGGAGGCTGAGGCAGAGGAATTGCTTCCACCCAGGAGGCAGAGGTTGCAGTGAGCCAAGATCACACCATTGCACTGCAGCCTGGGCAATGGAGGAAAAAAAAAAAAGGAAACTGTCAGTGTTCTAGATAGACCAGTTTTCCTCAAGTTCAGGTAGTTAGGAAGAAAGAGTGCAGTTTGCAATTGTGAAAAATCTGATAATGGATTTTTTTTTCTTTTTTGTGCATGAAGGGATTCTGTAGTACGTCTGGTTTAAAGGCTGATTTAATAGTTTTAGGAACTTTGGATCAGAACAGCCATACGACTCCTCAGAGAAAAAATGGGTTTCAGTCTGGTTCTTTAAATTTCTTGTTTATATAACCAAGCCGTGCTTGTTCCTATGAGGGAGAACAATTGTGCTTTAAAAAAGGAAAATCTGGGCCAGGTACAGTGGGGCGTGCCTGTAGTCCCAGGTATTTGGGAAGTTGCAGTGGGAGGATGGCTTGACGCCAGGAGTTCTAGACTAGCCTAGGCAATACAGCGCGACCCTCATCTCTTAAAAAAAAATAGTAATAATAGGTAGTTGGGCATGTTGGCGCATACCTGTGCTGTTAGTTACCTGGGAAGCTGAGGCAAGAGGATCACTTGAGCCCAGGAGGTCAAGGCTGTAGTCAACCATAGTCATGCTACTCTACTCCAGCCTGGGTGATAGAGCGAGACCCTCTGTCTAAAAAATAAAATAAATAAAATAAAATAAAATAAAATAAAGTGAGACCTGTGTAAAAAATAAAATGAAATAAAATAAGATAAAATAAAATAATTTATGGAAGTGAAAAACTTAACACTACGTAGACAGAAGAGGATGTCTCTCTGTGCAGCAATCCACCAGCCTTATTTTACCAATCTTCCCACTTAAAATGACTGTTTGAGAATTGCTTTCTCTGTATATCAGATAAAAAATACTTAGGTTTGGCCAGGCACGGTGGTTCATGCCTGTAGTCTCAGCACTTTGGGAGGCTGAGGTGGGCAGATCACGAGGTCAGGAGATCGAGACCATCCTGGACAACAAGGTGAAATCCCGTCTCTACTAAAAATACAAAAATTAGTTGGGTATGGTGTCGTGAGCTTTTAATCCCAGCTACATGGGAGGCTGAGACAGGAAAATTCCTTCAACCAGGGAGTCTGAGGTTACAGTGAGCCAAAATCACACCACCGCATTCCAGCTTGGGCAACAGAGCAAGACTCCATCTCAAAAAAAAAAAAAAAAAGACCCCAAAAAACTTAGGTTTTATTCCAAAAGTGTCCTTATTGAATCATTTGGCATCTATAACCCAGTGCTTGTTTCTCATGGGTATCCCCCATGTTAGCCTGTCAGGAAGGAGGTAATTCAGCAGGTAAACCAGTGGCCAGGATTTGGGTCCACATTTCATCTTCCTTTTCTTAACCTAGTTCTACATTTACTCATCTGAAAAAAAGGGAAGTAATAACAGTACCTGTCCTACACGGTTACTATGAGGAAGACTCCAAAGTTCCTGGACCCGTACTAAAATATACGTATTTTGAAATACAGGCTCACAGGAGATTTCAAAAACAGTACCTGGAGTCTCACAGACCCTTCAGCCAGCTTCTCTTTGGTGACGTCTTCATATCCATGGGACAATATCAGAACCAAGTCATTGATGTTGGTATATCCCTATTAAAGAGAACACATACCTCATTCAGCTTGTTTTTTTTTTTTTTTTTTGAGACATGGTCTCACTCTGTTGCCCAGTCTGGAGTACAGTGGTGCGAGCTCGGCTCACCCCAGCCTTGAACTCCTGGGTGCAAGTGATCCTCCCACCTCAGCCTCCCAAGTAGCTGGAACTACAGGCATGCACCACCATACCCAGCTAATTTTTGTATGTTTTGTAGAGGTAGAGTCTTGTTATGTTGCTTAGGTCTTGATCTCCTGGTGCCTCAAGTGATCCTCCCACCTCGGCCTCCCAAAGTGCTGGGATTGTATACAGGCATGAGCCATCGTGCCTGGCTTGTTCAGCCTTTTACTAGTTTTCAAAAGGTGCTCATTTGTGTTTGCGAGTGTGTGTGTAGAGTTCTGTGCAGTTTTACCCAGTGTGTGGATTTGGCAGCTACCACCCTCCAAACCATGGTACAGGATGAATTCCCTCACCGCAGACCCCTCTGTCTTCCTCAACACATTTTTTTTTGTAACTTTCACATGATATACCATCTGAAAATATTTTATATTCTTAAGAGCTAGGAGATCTTCATAATTAATGATGCATGGTTCTGAAATCTAAAGCGCTTGTACTGGTAGTTTTTAATTCTGTCCTTGGTTTTTAGAAATAAGGCTTGGAGTTGCAAGGAAAATCGAGCCCTTAGAGAAAGGATTTCTCAGCAAAAAAAATGTATTTCTGCACAGAAGGGTGCCTCCTGTGTGGCTGGTTGCCCCAAGAGCACCCTGAACAAAGGAGAGTAGAAGTTTTTATTCCTAAGGCAACTCCTGCCCCTGTGTCCTTTCCCCATTGGCTGGGGTCAGACTGCACAATCTAAAATAGACCCGACTGGCTAAACATTTCAACGTTCTTTAATGATAAGGTGGACACATGATTGGAGAGAGGAGAGAGGAGGGAGGGGTCGTCTGTGGCGAACTAGAAAGCCAGTCTTTTCCCAAATAAAGGAAGGAGGGTGAGCTGGTGCTGATAATGCCACTGGTGCTGTGGCATGCCTGGGCATGTAGTAAAGTCAGAAAGAAGAAAAGGAGAAGAAAGAGATGCAGGGGTGGATACTGGGAATTAAAGAATAAAAGGTTGAGCAGGCTGTTTGAAGAGAAACCTTGCCATATCTCATATTGGTTCTCCTAAATTGGCCAGAATTTTCCTTTGCTCTCCTCGTTGCTGGGTCTTATTAATGCCTTAAGATAGTTCATTCAGGCTGTTGTAGCAAAATACCACCGACTGGGTGGCTTTTTTTTTTTTTTTTTGAGACAGAGTCTTGCTCTGTCACCCAGGCTGGAGTGTAGTCGTGCAATCTAGGCTCACTGCAAACTCCGCCTCCTGGGTTCACACTATTCTCCTGCCTCAGCCTCCAGAGTAGCAAACCACAGACATTTATTATTGTTCACAATTCTGGAGGCTGGAGGTCCAAGATGAAGGCATGGCAGATTTGGTGTCTGGTGGGGACCTGCTTCCTGGTTCATAGATGGTGCCTTCTCGCTGTGTCCTCACATGGTGGAAGGGGTGAGGGAGCCCTCTGGGGTCCCTTTATAAGGGCAGTGATCCCATTCATGAGGCTCCAACCTCACGACCTCATCACCTCCCTAGGGCCTCACCTCCTGACACCATTACCTTGCAGGTGAGGATTTCAACACAGGAATTTTAGGGGGACACAGACATTGAGTCCACGGCATCCCCACACAGCATGCTGCCGGGACGAATGGCATCTGAACTGGTGAGATTCTACTGTGTGCATAAATCAGCAGCCTTGTGGGCAGTGTTGACATAGCAATTAGGAGTGTTGTTTGTAGCCTAACAATACACAGAAAGTGGAGCTCAGCCCTTTGATCTTATTTATCTTGTGTGGGTGCTCCGTGTGAGACAGGCTCATGCATGTGTGAATGACAGTTTCCTTTAAGTGCATCATGCAAATGCCAAGAGATGAGATCAAATATTACACGTCAGAGAACATTTCCAAGGATAGAAGTCCTGCCGGTTTCTCCTCTTCATTGTTTATTTCATTTTATTTTTTTAATTTAAGTTAAATTAAAATACATGTTAAATTAAATTTAAGTTAAATTAAGATACATGTGCAGGACTTATTTTAAATAAAAGAGACAGGGTCTCGCTGTGTTGCCCAGGCTAGTCTTGAACCCCTGGGCTCAAGCATTCCGCCTGCCTCCGCTGCTGGCACATAAATGCCAAGAGTGCAGGGACCTCTGTGTGTTGGAGTCGCTTTCATCTCCCACATCCAAAGAACAGACCCGGCACTTAGTGTGTGCCCAAGACCATCCACTGCATGAATAGAGAAATCAACCCTCCTCATATGCCTGGGATTTCCTGAGGTGGGAAACCTTCAATGCTAGCTGGGAAAGTCCCAGGCAGAGACAGGGACAAGCTGGTCACTCTGTGTGTGAATAAATAAATGAATGGATGATGGCATTATCGGCAGTTGTTCTTTATGACACTCACTGATGCCAAGTACTGGACGGGTACAATATGTACATTAGTTTATGGGCAGAAGTTCCACCATGACAATATTAACATTATTTTCTTTTTTCTTTTTTTTTTTTTGAGACGGAGTCTTGCTCTGTCGCCCAGGCTGGAGTACATTGGTGCAATCTTGGCTCACTGCAAGCTCCGCCTCCCGGGTTCACGCTGTTCTCTTGCCTCAGCCTCCCGAGTAGCTGGGACTACAGGCGCCCACCACCATGCCCGGCTAATTTTTTGTATTTTTAGTAGAGACTGGGTTTTACCGTGTTAGCTGGGATGGTGTCGATCTCCTGACCTCATGATCCACCTGCCTTGGCCTACCAAAGTGCTGGGATTACAGGCGTGAGCCACCGCGCCCGGCTGCCTCTTTTTTTTTTTTTTTTTTTAAAGACAAGAGTTTCACTCTGTAGTGAAGGCTAGGGTGTAGTATTACAGCCATAGCTCACTGCAGCCTCCACTTCCCTGGGTCAAGTGATCCTCCCACTTCAGCCTCCCAAGTAGCTGGAACTACAGATGTGCACTGCCACACTCAACTAATTTATTTATTTATTTTTATAGAGTTGGGTATGGCTATGTTGCCCAAGCTGGTCTCGAACTCCTGTGCTCAAGTGATCCTCCCACCTCAGCCACGGAAGTAGCTGGGATTACAGGTGTGTCCACCGTGCTTGTAGTCTTCTTAATGGAAAGAGGGTCTGAGAGAAGGGATGCTATGTGGCAGTAGGTTTCGCCTGCAGCACGCTGCCTCCTCCCTGGGAATGTAGGGCATGCACACTGGATCAGACGACAAAAGCAATGTCATCTGCAGTTCATAGGCACGCTGCAAAGAAGGGAGATGTTAAACTCTCGAAAGCAGCAGACACTCCCCACCAGGAAGAGACATGGTTTGTGAAAATCAAAGGAGGGTGAAGGCATGACAATCGTGAGCCCAGGAGGTTGAGGCTGCAGTGGGCTGAGATCTTGGTACTGCACTGCAGTCTGGGTGACAGAGACCTTGTCTCAAAAAAATAAAAATTCATGGGAAGCCAGGTGTGGAGGCTCATGCCTGTAATCCCAGCACTTTAGGACGCTGAGGTGGGAGGATCTCTTGAGCCCAGGAGCTCAGTATCTGTCTGGGCAATATAGTAATACCCCATCTCAAAAAAAAAATTTTTTTTTTTTTGAGACAGTCTCACTTTGTCACCCAGGCTAGAGTGCAGTGCTGCAATCTCTGCTCACTGCAACCTCTGCCACCTAGGTTCAAGCGATTCTCCTGCCTCAGCCTCCCAAGTAGCTGGGATTACAGGCTCCTGCCACTGTGCCTGGCTAATTTTTGTAGTTTTTATAGAGATGTGGTTTCACCATTTTGGCCAGGCTGGTCTTGAACTCCTGGCCTTGTGATCCACCTGCCTTAACGTCCCAAACTGCTGGGATTATAGGCATGAGCCACCACGTCTGGCCAAAAAAAATTTTTTAAAGTAGCTGAGTGTGGTGGCATGGGCTTGTATGTAGTCCCAACTGCTAGGGAGGCTGAGGCAGGAGGATTACTTGAGCCCAGGAGGTGGAGACTGCAGGAGTCATGATGGTGCCACCGTGCTCCAGCCTGGGCAACAGAGTAAGAGCCTATGTCAAAAATAAAAGGAAGTATCAAGGGAGATGATTACACAGTGCCTGGCACACTGTAGGTCTCCAAAAAATAAACCTTTTCTATCCATCAGTTTCCTCTTCTCTCCAGCATGAAATTGCGTATGTAAAGTTGAAAAGAAAAAAGAGAGAGAGAATCTTTCAAAAAGGTGGTAATGTTGGTGGCATTGTGGTTGTTTAAAACAAACAAACAAACAAACAAAAAACCTTGGGGGAAATACAGAGAAAGCCCCAAGGCAGTCCTTCCAAAAAGCTGAAAGTGCTTTGCTTTGTCTGGAATTGTGACCGAGTTTTCCCTGTTAGAAAAGTCTGTGGTTAGAAGCTTCCTGTTAAGCCAGCTTCCTGGTAAGAAGGTGGAACCGTTGTTTCTTCTGTGTGACGGGTTCCCTCTGCCGTTTCTGTAGGTTGCCTCCCTGTGGTCGTTTACTGTGGTGGGTCCAGACTCAAAACCAGGTTTGGGGCCACCATCATCATATTTGTGTCCCCCACCCCAAGATTCTTATGTCGACACCCTAGTCCCCAAGATGATGATATTAGCAGGTAGGGCTTTTAGGAGGTGATGAGGTCATGAGGGTGGGTCCTCATGAATGGGATCAGTGTCTTTATAAAAGGGACCCCAGGGAGCTCCCTCGCCCCTTCCACTATATGAGGACACAGCAAGATAGCACTGTTAATTAGGAAGCTGGTCTCTGCCAGATGCTGAATCTTCCACACCTTCATCTTGGACTTCCAGCCTCCAGGACTGACAGCAGTAAATGTCTATTGTTTCTAAGCCTTGGTCTACTGTGTTTTGTGATGGCAGCCCAAATGGATTTAGATGGGGCTCTATTCACCCCATGCAGCAGGGTCCATGGAAAGGCAGCTGTGATGAGATGATCCATCATTACCTCTTTCATGCAGACTGAACATCTCTGCTTTTCTGTTCTGTTCTCTTCCACTTTTTCATGCTATATTTTCTCAGCATTATTCCTCTTGTTTCTGGCCTCTTTTGAAGTCTTCTTTTCCAGGGATCTGCATTTCCCCCATCCTCTTGAACAAGAAACTACTGGCCCTGGGTCTCCTTACCTTGCCTCCCACGTGTTGCTCATCTCCTTGGAGATGGAAACTGAAGAAGAGGAAGAAATTTTAACATGAAGAGGAACATAGAACACACAGATCCCGAGAGATGGAGAAAGCCAACCCAGTGGCTCAGGGAGACAGCTGGGAGGGGAAATGGGGAGGACTGCTGAATAGAATATCCAGTCTCCTTTGGGGGCGATAAACATATTTTGGAACTAGATTGAGATGACAGTTGTACAACACTGTGAATATGCTAAATGTCACTAGATGGTCAATTTTAAAATGATTCATTTTATGTTATAGTGAATTTCACCTTGATGGGAAAGAAGATAAAGAGGAAGCTGGTGGCTCGAGCCTGTAATCCCAGGACTGTGCAAGGAAAGAGACAGAGTTTGACGCTACTGGTGGCCAGGTCTTGCAGAGCATGGTGGCAGACTTTTTTTTTTTGTTATCGAGTCTAGCTCTGTCGCCCAGGCTGGAGTGTAGTGGCGTGATCTCAGCTCACTCCAACCTCCACCCCCCAGTTCAAGTGATTCTCCTACCTCAGTCTCCTGAGCAGCAGGGACTACAGATGCCTGCCACCACACCCGGCTAATTTTTGTCTTTTTGGTAGAGACGGGGTTTCACCATTGAGATCATGAGTGGTGGGATTCTTGGTCTTCTTGTTCTGTTTTGGAGATGGAAGCCACAGGAGCCCCTTCGAGAATGAATGTAGGGTGTAACTGTATTAGTTTGCTCTGACTGTCATAACAAAATACCACAGACTGAGTGACTTATTTAATAGAAATTAATTTTCCCACAGTCCTGGAGGCTGGAAGTCTGAGATCAAGGTGTGGGCAGGCCTGGTTCCTCCTAAGGCCTCTCTCTTGGGCTTGTAGATGCTATCTTCTCCCTGTGTCCTCACAGGGCCATCCCTCCATTCGCCTTTGTGTCCTTATCTCCTCTTTTTTAATTTTTATTTTTTTAGAGACAGGATTTTGCTCTGGCCCAGCCCAGAGTTCAGTGGTGCTATCATAGCTCACTGCAGCCTTGGCTTCCTGGGCCCAAAGCAACGCTCCCACCTCAGCCTCTTGAATAGCTGGGACCACAGGTGTGCACCACCATGCTCAGCTTTTGTATATATATTTTTCCTAGAGATGGAGTCTCCCAATGTTGCCTAGGCTGGTCTCAAATCCTGGCCTCAAGAAATCCTCCTGCCTCAGCCTCCCAAAGTGCTGCGATTACAGGTATGAACCACTGCACCCAGCTTCCTCTTCTTACTAGGATACCAGTCCTATTGGGTCAGGGTCCACCCTAATGACTTCATTCTACCTTAATTAACTCCTCAAGGACAGCATTTCCAAACAGTCACATGCTAAAGTCTGGGGATGAGGGCATTGATATATGATTTTTTGGGGCACATAATTCAGATCATTGCCCCTGTGAAAATTGTAATGCATCTAGGGATACATTGGAACTTCTCCTAAAGCAATATTGTAGTGTCACCCCAGTTAAAGCTGGCTTCTTAGAAGATCCCCCTTGTTGGTTGACTTCTGCAATCTCTCTCATGTTCCTTCACACTGTCTTAGTCTTGCATGGCTGCTGGAATGAAGGACCACAAATACAGTGGCTTAAACTCACATGCAATGAAGAGATACCTGCACTTTCAGGTTCACTGCAGCCTGAGTCACACAATAACCAAGATAGGTCAACAACCCCTGTGTCTGTCAGCGGATGAGTGGGTGAAGAAAATATGGTCTGTACACAATGGTGTACTATTCAGCCTGTAAAAACAATAAAGTCCTGTCATTTGCAACAATGTGGATGCAACTGGAGGTCATTATGCTCTGAGAAATAAGCCAGGCACAGAGAGACAAATACGGCATTATCTCACTCCTTTTTTTTTGGACAGGGTCTCACTTGGACACCCAGGCTGGAGTGCAGTGATGTGGTATCACTGCAGCATTGACGTCCCAGGCTCAAGGGATCCTCTCACCTCAGCCTCCTGAGTAGCTGGGACTGCAGGTGTGCATCACCACGCCAGGCTATTGTTTTGATTTTTTTTTGTAGAGATAGAGTCTTGTCATGTTGCCCAGGCTGGTCTTGAGCTCTTGTCCTCAAGTGATCCTCCCAGTTTAGCCTCCCAAAGTGCTGGGATTGCAGGCATGAGCCACCACGCTCTGCCTGACCTATGTACTTTAGAATTCCAGAAGCAAATCTCGTATCCTGCTGGAGGAGCAAGACGGAAACGCAGGTGCTAGAGGGCAGATTGTTTGCACAGAAACCTGGGCATGTGGATGAATTTGGTAATACTCACGTGTGTGCGGGTAAACTTGGCAGACCCCTTTTTTTCCAAGGTTCCCTTGTGCAAAAAGAATGAAACCAGTGCAACCAATACTTTTAAGAAGCCCCTCCTTTCTGGAGTGTTTTCACGTTGCATTTCTCGGGTGGGCATGTTTTCCTGGCATCTCCGATTCTGTGCTGTGTTGGGTAACACAGGATGATGGACATTTTGCTTCCCTATTAGGATCTTAAGTGAAAGTCCAGTTGGCATTTGCATTTGATCTGAGTAGGAGAAAACATGATAAATAGCCATTAGAGGCCAGGCCTGGGGGCTCACACCTGTAATCCCAGCACTTTGGTAGGCCGAGGTGGGCAGATCACCTGAGGTCAGGAGTTTGAAACCAGCCTGGCTAACATGACGAAACCCCGTTTGTACCCAAAAATACAAAAACTAGCTGGGCACGGTAGTGGGTGCCTGTCATCCCAGCTACTCAGGAGGCTGAGGCAGGAGAATCACTTGAACCCGGGAGATAGAGGTTGCAGTGAGCCGAGTCTGTGCCACTGCACTCCAACCTGGGGTGATAGAGTGAGACTCCATCTCAAAAAAAAAAAAAAAAAACAACCAAAAACACCCAAAAACACATTAGATGCATTTGAAGCCTCCCAGCAATTCTCCCATGATGGCAGAATAGGCATCCAGGAGACTCACCCTACCCTGTCTGAACACCTTTAGCGAAGATGTAAATGATCTGCAGAGGATACTCAGGTGCGAGGATGGAAATTCCTTCTCCCTCCAGCACTGATGGCTTCCACCTTCCTGTGGTCTAAGGAGACCACACAGAGGTTGTCAGTGTGGGAGGCTGTTGCCAGTATGGTGAGTTTCCTACGGAGGAATTTCCTGTGGGACACCTCTGGGCAGTTCTTCCCGCCTTTCATGTCTTCTGTCAGATGATAGAGTGGCCAGGTCAAGGGATTATCATGATTTTATTTGTTTTTTGTTTTTTAGAGACAAGGTGTTGCTCTGTCGCCCAGGCTGGAGTGCAGTAGGGGTGCAATCAATAGCTCAGCTGCAGCCTCAAACTACAGGGCTCAAGTGATCCTCCTGCCTCAGTCTCCCAGGTAGCTGGGACTACAGGGACACACCACAATGCACAGCTCATTCTCTCATAAGATGGAGAGAAGAGAAGAGAGGAGGACATAAAACTGTCCATATGACTAGTTTGGGCCTTTCCATCCTGCTTAATCCAGAACTGTCAAGGTTAGACCCTGGTCATTCTTTAATATGTTTGAAAAATACGGCTGGGCACGGTGGCTCACACGTGTAATCCCAGCACTTTGGAAGGCCAGGGTGAGAGGATCACTTGAGTCCAGACGTTTGAGACCAGCCTGGGCAACATAAGAAGACCCCACTGCTACAAAGGGGGAAAAAAATCAGCCATGCATGGGGACGCATGCCTGTGGTCCCAGCTATTCGGGGGGCTGAGACGGGAGGATTGCTTGAGCTCGGGAGGTAGAGGCTTCAGTGAGCTGCGATTGTGCTACTGCACTCTAGCTTGTGTGACAGAGTGAGACCCTGCCTCAATTAAAAAAAAAAAAAAGAAAAATAGACCTTCCTTCTATACAATGTCTTCCCTGCTGGCCTCCATGCCCTCGTACCTGTTTAAAAATCCACTGGAATTTTTCACCAGGACATAGAAAAAGGAAGTTGTCTCACGCAGTTCCTGTTAAATTGCACAAGTCCACACAGATCCTTGCAACCCACGCTACCATTTACTTAGCATGCGTTGTGTGTGGGCATTACATTATTCTCCGAGGTAGTTATTTTGGATGTTATACTGGGGAGGTACCCCATCAAAGAGATTTGGAGGGCAACCTGTGGAGGGTTCTTTTAAAATTGTTGACAACTAATTTGGTGGATGTTTTCACCTTGGTGAATCGTTCCCTTGGGAGTCATTTTGCAGAACAAAGGGGTTGCACACAGGTGTGGCCAGAGAAACCTTGGCACAGAAGAAAGAAGTGCTTTGTCATGCTTAGGGCACCTGGGATCTCTTTGGATGGGCAGGCAGAGGGGAACTCTGTGAAGCCTGCCTGCATTTATTTGGGTATGCATGCTTATGTTGGAGTCTTGGCAATAAGAGGACCAGAGTGGAGGGAACAGAACTGTTAACAGAAAGGGTCCAGATTCAGACACCAAGAGAGGGTTCTTGGATCTCGCGCAAGAAAAAATTCAGGGCAAATCCATAGAGTAAAGTGAAAGCAAGTTTACTGAGAAAGTAGAGGAATAAAAGAATGGCTCCTCCATAGGCAGAGCGGCCTCGAGGGCTGCTGGTTGCCCATTTTTATGGCTATTTCTTGATTATATGGTAAATGAAAGGTGAATTATTCATGCCTCCCCTTTTTAGACCAAATAGGGTAACTTCCTGATGTTGCCGTGGCATTTGTAAACTGTCATGGCGCTGGTGGGAGTATAGCTGTGAGGACAACCAGAGGTCACTCTTGTCGGCGTCTTGGTTTGGGTGGGATTTGGCCAGCTTCTTTACCGCAACCTGTTTTATCAGCAAGCTCTTTATGACCGGCATCTTGTGCTGAACTCCTATCTCATCCCGTGACTTAGAATGCCTTAACCATCTGGGCACACAGCCCAGCAGGCTTCAGCCTCATGTTAACCAACACCTCTTCAAGATGGAGTTGCTCTGGTTCAGATGCCACTGACAGAGCTAGCTTATAGTTGGGACAATGTCATAGGGAATTATTCTTAAAAGATTGCAAAATCCAGCTTGGATGAGATTCCAGAAATCAAAAGGGTGTTGAGAAAGCAACTTGTCTAGAATTTCCTCTTCATGGGCTGTTGATTCTGTTCGCAATCACACCTTAAGAAAAAAATAGGCCAGGCACGGTGGCTTGTGCCTGTAATCCCAGCACTTTGGGAGGCTGAGGCAGGAGTTAGAGACTAGCCTGGCCAACATGGTGAAACCCGTCTCTACTAAGAAAATACAAAAATCAGCCAGGCATGGTGGTGCGTGCCTGTAATCCCAGCTACTTGGGAGGCTGAGGTGAGAGAATTGCTTCAATCTGGGAGGCAGAGGTTGCAGTGAGCTGAGATTGTGCCACTGCACTCCAGTCTGGGTGGACAGAGCAACACTCCTTCTTAACAACAACAACAACAACAACAACAACAACAAAATAATAAAAATAGAAGAGAAAATAAGTGACACATAGTGGCTCATGCCTATAATCCCAGGGCTTTGGGAGGTCAAAGAAGGAGAATCATTTGAGGCTAGTGGTTCTAGAGTAGCCTATACAACATAGTGAGACCTTGTCTTTACAAAAATAGAAAAAAGTTAGCCATGTGTATGGTGGGTCTCATACCTATAGTCCTAGCAATTCAGGAGGCTGAGGCAGGAGGACCACTTAAACCTAGGAGTTGGAGGCTACAGTGAGCTATGATGGCGCCACTGCACTCCAGCCTTAGCAAAAGAGCACGATTCTGAAACGAAAGAAAAAAAGAAACGGACATAAAATATAAAAAGAAAGAAAACAGAAAAAAAAATATATTTATATAGAAAGAAATCTGTAATGATGCAAAACATTCCGTGGACACGAATAGAATAGTTGTTATGCGTGATTTTGTTTATTAAAGCTTTTTTTAGTTCATCCGTAAAGTTTAGTGTTTTCTTTTGAGAACAAATTCTGTCTTGTCAACTTCATTGATTTTCAGGCTGGGCGTGGTCTCTCGACACTTGTAATTCCAGCACTTTGGGAGGTCGAGGTGGGAGGAGGGCTTGAGACCAGGGGTTCGAGACTAGCCTTGGCAACATGGTGAAACCCTATCTTTACAAAAAAAAAATAAACAAATAACAATTAGCCGGGCATGGTGGCACATGGCTGCAGTCCCAGCAACCTGGGAGGCTGCTGTGGGAGGATCACTTGAGTCTGGGAGGTTGAGGCTGAAGTGAGCTATGATTGCGCCATTGCACTCCAGCCTTGGTGACAGAGTGAAACCATGAAAGAAAAGAAAGAAAAGCAAAAAAGAAAAGAGAAAGGAAGGAGAAAAAGAAAAAAGAAGAAAAAAGTAAAAGAAAATAATATATAGAAAAAGTCAGTAATGTCTCAAAATATTCCCTACACAGTTGAATAGAAATTGTTGTTGGATGTGATTTTATCTGTTAAGGCTTTTGTTTAGTTCATTGTTAAACAGTTCAGTATTTTATTTTGAGCACAGATTCCGGTTTATCAGTTGCACTAATCTTTGCAAAGAAACTACTTTGGGTTTCTTTAATGTTTCTGTGTTGACTTCCTGTTTTCAGTTTCATTGCAGTTTGCTCTGGTTTTTCTTTTGTTTTTCTCCACTCATTTTAGGTTTCTGGAATTTTCCTGAAGCATTGCATGCTGATACAGATTCTGAGCTGGTGCTTTGACTGTCACAAGCCAGAGGGTCCTAGAAGAAGTAGAATCATAACTGAGGAAAACTTAGGAAACCCCATCCGTTCTGCCTTTCAAAGGTCTTCAGGGCAGCGCCACGTTTCACCACCTGATTTTGGTGTTTCACAGTCTGATGTGTTCATAGCTTTTGACTATTAAACTGATTGAGCTCTGCGTTTTTTAAATTTCTGTTACCCTGCTGGTGCTGTTTGAGCTCCAGCTTCCTCCTCTGTGTAATCAGTATCCCTAGTTGCCTCTTTACCCAAAAAGCCACAGAAATAAGTGCAGAGAAAACAGGTTAGCTGCCACCTGCGACAGAAGCGTGTCCTTAAATGTGTCCCTGGTCTCCTGGCCACATCACTCCAGTCTCTGCCTCTGTCTCCAAATGGGGCCTTCTCTTCTGTGTCTCTGTCTCGTCTTCTGTGTCTTTATTTTATTTATTTATTTGAGATGGCGTTTCAATCTTTTGCCCAGGCTGGAGTACAGCGGTGTCATCTCGACTCACTGCACCATCCACCTCCTGGGTTCAAGTGATTCTCCTGCTTCATCCTCCTGAGTAGCTGGGATTATAGGCACCTGCCACCACCCCTGGCTTATTTTTTCCATTTTTAGTAGAGACAGGATTTCACCATGTTGCCCAGGCTGGTCTCAAACTCCTGTCCTCCAGGTGATCCACATGGCTCGACCTCGCAAAGTGCTGGGATTACAGGCATAAGCCACTGTGCCTGGCCATTTTTTATTCATTCTCTTTTGTCTCTTAGAAGGACACTCGTTGTTGGATTTGGGTCCCACCCTAAATCCAGGATGGCCTCATCTGGAGATTGTTTACTTAATAGAAACTACAATGACCCTATTTTCGAATAAGGCTCTATTCACAGGTACCAGGGGTTAGGATGTGGACATATTTTTGGGGGGCACCATTCAACCTAATCCACCCCTCAACCTCAGTACGTCCACTGCGTTCAACATGAACTGTGTCTCCTTCTTTCCCCAAACAGAACAACTTAAGAGATCCTGTGCACCTGTACACCTTGCGTAGGTCATCAGCACTCACTGCTTATATGCCTAAGTTCTAAGCTGTGATCATCTCCACCCTCCCTCTTGCAGCCCAGTTGAGCCCATTCTCTGCCCAAGCACCTTATAAACAGGCCATTAACCCTCCATCTCCATATGTTTCACGCCCTTATTTCATACATTATAGTATTTAATGTTCTTTTACTGATTTTTCGCAGGGTGGAAAATGTCAAGGAAAGGAACTGAGTTTGACAGTTTTAAATTCATACATTCTGCTGTCAACATTACTTTGAAACAATTATTTAATGCAGTGCATCGGTTTCATTTAACATAAACCTATGTAGATGAAATATTTTGATAGTCACATTTTAAAAGGTGAGAAAGTTATATAGTGAAATGCATCTCTGTTTTTGTGCCTCACCTGTGCAGAATTTGCCCTCTCCTCCCACCCAGGTGACCATATTAATGTGTCTTGTATATTTCTCCAAAGCCCTTTCTACATATGGAAGCAAGTATCACTTATGGAGAAGGGCCTCACTTTTTTTTTTTTTTAAACAGGTGGGGTTCCCTGTTGTCCAGGCTGGAGTGCAGTGGTACTATCATAACTCACTGCAGCCTCCAACTCCCGGGCTCAAGCAGTTCTCCCATCTCTGCCTCATGAGTAGCTGGGACTACAGATGCATACCACCACACCCTGCTCATTTAAAAATTTTTTTTGTGCAGATGATGTCTGGCTATGTTGCCCAACCTAGTCTTGACCTCCTGGGCTCAAGTGATTCTTCTGCCTTAGCCTTCTAAAGTGCTGGGATTACAGGCATGAGCCACTGCTCCCAGTCTCCACCCATCTGTAGGTGTGGTACAAGAGCATGTTCCCTCCCAAGCTAATGTGGCATGTACTGGCCTCCCAGGCTGTAGACAAGATGGATGGGGGCTGTGCCCACTTCTTGAGTTACCTTTTTTTTTTTTTTTGGAGGCAGAGTCTCACTGTGTTGCCCAGGCTGGAATGCAGTGGTGCAATCTTGGCCTATTGCAGTCTCCATCTCCTAGCTTTAAGCAATTCTCCCACCTCAGCCTCCTCAGTAGCTGGGATTACAGGTGCCTGGCACCATGTGCAGCTAATTGTTGTATTTTTCATAGAGACGGGGTTACACCATGTTGGCTGGGCTGGTCTCAAACTCCTGGCCTCAAATGATCCTCCCGCCTCGGCCTCCCAAAGTGCTGAGACTGCAGGTGTGAGCCAGGGCACCCAGCTGGGTTGTAACTTTTTTTTTTTTTTTTGAGACGGAATTTTGCTTTTGTTGCCCAGGCTGAAGTGCAGTAGTGTGATCTTGGCTCACTGCAACCTGTGCCTCCCGGGTTCAAGCGATTCTCCTGCCTTGGCCTCCTGAGTAGCTGGGATTACAGGCATGCACCACCATACCCGACTAATTTTGTATTTTTAGTAGAAATGGGGTTTCTCCATGTTGGTCAGGCTTGTTTCTAACTCCCGACCTCAGGTGATCCACCCCTCTTGGCCTCCCAAAGTGTTGGGATTGCAAGCGTGAGTCAGTGCACCTGGCCGGTTTTACATTTTTTGAAGTGCATTTTCCACATGGCCACCTCTCTTGGAGTGCCTGTGAGGAACACAATGCTGTCCTTCTTGATGTCTCTGCAGGGCCACTGCGACGCTGTCTTCTTGCAAAGATTTCTGTCCATGATGTCTCAACATTGAATGTTTGGGTTTTTTTCTCTTGCATTTTAGGGAGAATTGGGGCTCATCCATCCTCACCTTCTCTCTCCCATTGAATTGGTGCATCCTGTTTTGTTAGCACCTGGAATGCCCATGTTCAAGGTTCTTTAAGCACCTCAGTTTAAGGAAAGAAATGCAGAATTTTGTTTTTGTTTTTTTTTTTTTTGAGACGGAGTCTTGGTCTGTTGCCCAGGCTGGAGAGTACGCAGTGGCGCAGTCTTGGCTCACTGCAAGCTCTGCCTCCCGGGTTCATGCCTTTCTTCTGCCTCAGCCTCCTGAGTAGCTGGGACTACAGGCACCCGCCACCACATCTGGCTATTTTTTTGGATTTTTAGTAGAGACGGGGTTTTGCCATTTTAGCCAGGATGATCTCGATCTCCTGACCTCGTGATTCCCCTGCCTCAGCCTCCCAAAGTGCTGGGATTACAGGTGTGAGCCACTGTGCCCGGCTGAGGCTTAGGAATTCTTATAGTTGACTGACATTTACAATTTATTAAGGAACTTACTTTTTAAGTGTATAATCCTCAAAACATCTTTAAAAAAATGGTGATTTTTTTGTTATCCAAGTTACTTTGACATCAGCCATTTGCTGACCCACCACATAATTTCTCATTATGTTACCTTATTACTGGCTGAGTTAATATGCTTACTAGGGACCTGTATATGACTTTTCCAATTAAAAGTAAGTTAAGTCTGGGCGCAATCGCTCACGCCTGTAATCTCAGCACTTTGGGAGGCTGAGGTGGGAGGATCACTTGAGCCCAGGAATTTGAGACCATCCTGGGCAACAAAGAGATCTCAAAAACAAAATTAGCCAAACATGGTGTTGCATGCCTGTAGCATCAGCTGCTTGGGAGGCTGAGGCGGGCTGATGGGTTGAGCCCAGCAGTTTATGCTGCAGTAAGCTGAGATTGCATCACTGTGCTCTAGCCTGTGGGACAGAGTAAGACCTGTCTCTAAAAAAATTAATTAATTAATTAATTAAAAATAAATAAATAAAAGTAAGTCCAAATGGAGATGGTTGGTGGTGTTGGTGGGAATGGATGACATTATGAATGTATTTAACACCACTAATCTGTACACTTAAAAATTGTTAAGATGGTAAATTTTATGTTGTGCATAGCTTACCATAATTAACAAATAATAGATTTAAAACAAACAAAGTAAGTATATTCAGTGCCAGGTGTAGTGGCTCACACTTGCAATCTTAGCACTTTGGGGCATTGAGGTGGGAGGATTGCCTAAAGCCAGGAGTTCAAGACCAGCCTGGGCAACAGAGTGAGACCCCATCTTAAAAAAAAAACAAAAACCAAAAGAAGAAAACATTCACTTTCTTTCTGGATCATAAGTAGAGACCCAGACCTGCCTATGTGTCTTCAATGGACATCTTAAGACTTATGTTTTGGACATATCAGACTTTTGGAATAAAGGAGCTGAGTTGGGAGTGCAAACTCCTCTTCTTGTCCATTGCTCTGTGGCAGGAGATTTTGCTCTCAGCCCCCACTTACTGGTGTGAGATCCTTGATTCTGGAAGGTGAGCTGTGCTGTTCAGCCCACAGGTCCTCATGAATGTCTATATTCAGTGCCACGCAGAATAAGAAGAAACACACACCAGCTCTGTTTCTATGAAGCTTACTTTTTGTTGTTGTTGTTGAGAGGGGGTCTTGCTCTGTCTCCCAGGCTGGAGTGCAGTGGTGCAGTCATGGCACTTATTGCAGCCTCTACCTCCTGGGCTCAAGAGATCCTCCCTGCTCAGCCTCCTGCGTAACTGGGACCACAGATGTGCACCACCATGCCCAGCTAATTTTTAAATTTTTTGTAGAGACAGGGTTTCGCCATGTTGCCTGGGCTGGTCTTGAATGCCTGGGCTCCAGTGATCCACCTGCCTTGGCCTCCCAAAGTGCTAGGATTACAGACATGTGCCACCGAGCCTGGTTTTGCTTACTTTTTCTTTTTTTTTTTAAGTTCCTCTTAGCCTATCTTGGGGAGGTGGGTCAGTGTTATTCAGATGTACATACAACACAATCACCCACACTGGGAGAAGTCCTTGCTAAATGGATAGGGCTGGGTAACCACTGCCACATGGGACATTTGGGAAGCCGATGTTTGAATGTTTTCACGCTTACAGATGCATTCATTTACTACGTTTATTATTCTGTGTGATATGCTTTCTGTGTGTTATTTCACTTAAACCCAGTGGGGGTAAATATTGTGATCCCTATTTGGTAGATGAATTTTAGAGAGGTTAGAGGGCTTGTCACAGTCACACAGCTTTTAATCTTGATGGGATGACACCTCTAGAATGAGGCTTAATAGTGAGATGGCTGCGGAAGGAAAAAAGTAGGAAGGAGAGCAAGAGAGAAGGAAGGAAGGAAGAAAGTAGGGAGAAAGGAAGGAAAGGAGAGGGAAGGAAGGGAAAAAGTAGGAAGGAAAGAAAAGGAAGGAAAGAAGCAGACAGGAAGGATGGAAAGAAGGAATGAGAGGAAAGTAGGAAGGAAACCGATGAAAGGAGGGAAGGGCGAAGGAACAGGTCCCCTGTTCAGGTGAGTTTATTCCCAGGAAGGACCCAAGATGAAAAGTGTGTAAGAATTGTTTTAGGACAGGCATTGTGGCTCATGCCTGTCATCCCAGCACTTTGAGAGGCTGAGGCACGAGGATTGCTTGAGGCCAGGGGTTGAAGACTGCCCTGGGCAACACAGCAAGACCCTGTCGCTATAAAAAATAAATAAAATTAGCTGAGTGTGGTGGCTTGTACCTGTAGTCCCAGCTACTCAGGAGACTGACACAAGAGGTTTAGGGAAAATGAAAAACAGAACAAAAAACAGGCCGGGCATGGTGGCTCGTGCCTGTAATCCCAGCATTTTGGGAGGCCAAGGAGGGTGGATCAGGAGGCCAGGAGTTCAAGACCAGCGTGGCCAAGACGGTGAAACCCCGTCTCTACTAAAAATACAAAAAAATTACCCAGATGCGGTGGTGGGCACCTGTAATCCCAGCTACTTGGGAGGGTAAGGGAGAAAATTGCTTCAGCTGGGGAGGCAGAAATTGCAGTGAGCCAAGATGGTGCCACTGCACTCCAGCCTGGGTGACAGAGTGAAACTCTTGTCTCAAAAAAAAAAAAAAAAAAAAAAAATTAGCTGGCTGTGGTGGTGCATGCTTGTAATCCTAGCTACTTGGGAGTCTGAGGCCAGAGGATTGCTTGAACCCAGGAAGTGGCGGTTGCAGTGAGCTGTGATTGTGCCACTATACTCCAGTCTGAGCCAAAGAGAGGACTCCATCTCACATAATAAAAATAAAAATAAATAAATAAAAACAGAAACGAGAACACAGACACACACAGAGGATGGCCTGGTGAGGACACAGGAAGATGGCATCTCCAAGCCATGAGAGAGGTCTCAGGGGGAACCAGCCCTGCCCACACCTTGATGTCTGACTTCCATCCTCCAGGCCTGTGGGAGAAGAAAGTTCTCTTTAAGTCCCCTCGTCTGTGTGGTGTTATTATGGTAGTCTGAGCAAAATACTTTATTTAGATAGAAGTCTGCCAGAATTAGGGCCCTGTAATGCTTTCCAGGATGAATTGAGGTCAGAGCATAGTTCGTAGGTTCTTTTTTACATTTACTATTAGCCACTAGATTTTTTTTTCAGTAGACTAGCAAATACTGCAGAAGCTGAATTAGACGACAGCTTAAGTCAGATCTTTATGCACCTCAGAATATTTGTACTGATTAAAAGAAATAACCAACACTTGATAGGGGGAAAGATTGAGACACAGAAAGTAGTCTCTCCCTGTGACCAATCCTAACAAATTCTTGCTTAACTACCTTATTTTTTTTGGATGAAAATGTGTTTCTTACATCAGCAGAGATTATGAAGGGATTTACATACAGATGACTAAAATATCAGCCATTAGTCTCCTGTTTGTTTTTTGTTGTTGTTGTTTTTGGTGGGTTTTTTTTTTTTTTTTTTTTCTGGAGACAGGGTCTTGCTCTGTTGCCCAGGCTGGAGTGCAGTGGTGTGATCTTAGCTCACTGCAGCCTCGACCTCCCAGGCTCAGGCAATCCTCCCATCTCAGCCTCCCAAGTAGTTGGGACGACGGCTGTGCACCACCACACCTGGGTAATTTTTTGTTTTTATTTTTGTAGCTGGGATCTCGCTATGTTGCCCAGGCAAGTCTTGAACTCCCGGCCTCAAGTGATCCCACCATCTTGGCCTCCCAAAGTGCTGGACTTATAAGCGTGAGCCACCCTGCCCAGCCTAGTTTACAATTTGAACTTGGTTTTTCATCTCGGCTCCTTTGAAGACTTCTGTCTTCTCCCATGTTTGGGGCAGCTGTGTGTTGTGGACATTCCTTAGTGATCGGCCTGGGAAGGCTCAGACATGTCTAGGCTGCCTTTGTAGGAATAGGGATTAGTAGCTCCTTAGCCCCACTCTTTCCTGGGATGTTGCTGTTTGCTGAGGTCTGCACAGTTCAGACCACCCTGGAAGCCTCTCTCAGGTTCTCAGAGATGGTGGAGTTATACCTTTGACCGTGAGCTCGCAGCATTGCTAGGGAATGTACTTGGCTAAATTTGGAACTATTTGGTTGAATTTGTACCCCTTGGGCATATTTGCTTTGGTAACATACCACAGACTGGGTGCCTTAAAATAACAGAAGTTAATTGTTTCACAGTCCTGGAGACCACAACTCTGAAGTGCAGATGCAGCAGGGCTGTGCTCCCTCTGCGGGCTCTAGGGGAGGCTCCTTCCTGCCTCTCCCAGCTCCTGGGGGCTCCAGGCGTCCCTGAGCTTGTGGCCGCATCACTGCGGTCTCTGCCTCCGTCTCCACGTGGCCTTCTCCTCTGTGCCTGTGTCTTCTCTTCTTCTCTTACAGGAACACCCGTCATTGTGTTTAGGGTCCACTCCAATTTTGGATGACCTCACCTTGAGATCTTTAACTTAATTACATCTGCAAAGACCCTTTTCCCAAATGAGGTCTCATTTACAGGTTCTGTGGGTCAGGACATGGACATATCTTTCTGGGAGACCATAGTTCAGTCCACTACAGTTGTATCCAGTTGTTTCTGGAGGCTCCAGGGGAAGCTCCTTCCTGCCTCTCCCAGCTCCTGGGGGCTCCAAGTGTCCCTGGGCTTGTGGCCGCATCACTCTACTCTCTGTGTCTTTCTCCAGGTGGCCTTCTCCTCTGTGTCTGTGTCTCCTTATTAGTTTCACCACTCATATTGGACTGCCTCCAGGATGACCTTACCATATATATATATATATATATATATATATATATATATATATTTTTTTTTTTTAAATTTCATTTTTTTAAAAAGTGGAGACGGGGTCTTGCTGTCTTTCCCAGACTGGTCTCGAATGCCTGTGCTGGGATTACAGGGGTGAGCCACTGTGCCCAGCCTTTGTGTATATCTTAATCACATCTGCAAAGACCCTGTTTGCAACTAAGGTCCCATTCACAGGTACCAAGGATTAGGATGTCAACGTATCTTTTCCAGGGCACCCCATTCAACGCACACAAAGTAGGGAGAGGGGAGATTGGCTGTGTTTAGGTGACCTGTGAAAGGCCGAGCTAGCTGTGCGGTGTTGCTCTTGCAGCACAGAGGAAGAACTGGGCTCAGATGGTGTCAGCTGTTGGTGTCTGAGATCATCCGTGAATCTACTCCCGGGAATGTGCTGCAGTGAGACACGGTCCTTCTCCCGTCACCTTCCTCACCCCATCCCATATACCCATGGACCCCAAGGGAAAGTACTCAGGGTTGGTTGGTTTCTTTTCCGTTTTGTGACCGCGTGAAATTCCATGTCACGGTCCCTGTGTTTATTCCATACAGATCTCCTAAAGTGTTTTGAGTTCTAGCAAAATTTAAAAATATAACCAAAGAAACTTAAATCCTTGTTTCTCCTCTTTCTGGACACTTCTTTAGTATGAATGGCCTGCTGTCTTCCCTCTGTTTCTGCTGGCCGCCACGTTCCTTCCCTCCAAAGTCACAGGCAAGAGGGATTTAGGGTTTGCTGGGCTTGAGGAAGAGAGGAAAAGCCCATCTCTTTTCACAGTGAGAAACATGTTTTTTGCGCTTTCTCATACCCCACTTTGTACATTTTAAAATTTAATTTTTCTTTAGATTTCTGAACCGAGAGATTTTATTTATGTATTTATTTATTTATTTATTTATGAGACAAAATCTCCTTCTGTTGCCCAGGCTGCAGTGCAATGGTGCAGTCTCAGCTCTGCCACCTCCGCCTGCCAGGTTCAAGAGATTCTCATGCCTCAGACTCTGGAGTAGCTGGGATTACAGGTACCTGCCACCACGCCTGGCTAATTATTTTTGTATTTTTACTACAGACGCGGTCTCACTAAAATTAAAAGAAAAGACATAAACTGCACATCAGATTTCCCTCGTGCGTAACACTACTACTTAGCTTGGAGAGAGATGGAGGGGATCTCTAGGGTGGGGAATGGACCACTTACCTTCAAGATCTCTCTTTATCAGGAAGGAAATATCTGACCTGCCTAGAAACACTTGAAAATACTCTTTTTTTATGTCTTATTGGGCAAAGCTGGGTCAGATGGCCACCCTTAGCTGCAGAGAAGGCTACAAATAGGCATTTTCTACTCAAGTGGGATAATGGTTATCTGGCAAATGTGTACTGGAGAGCCTCAGGAAAATCTACCAGCACCATTAAATGTTGCCTTTGTCTTCTGTGCACTTAAGCTGATAAACTTTAAACATTACAGCATGCCACTTCTGTCTGCTTTGAATAAGGTTGTTTACCGACATACTTCTGCAATCTGATTGTGGCATTGGTGGGACTGGCCACATCTACCCCAGGGTAGCACAAAGATCTGCTGCAGTGCATAAATAACGTGTTTTGAGTTTTGTGTGTTTATAACTCACACAGCTCAGAGAAGGCTTTAGTCACAGAAGTGTAAAAAATCTGTGGAGTCATAGCTGTTGTTCTTAAAGTAGGCATGGAGAATTATCTCCATTGAGGGTCAAATACAAGTGCTAAGAAGACAGAATGTTATGCGGTAAACACAGCCAAGTAATAAATGGTTTTCTTGGAGTGGGTGATAGAGAAAGATAAATAAGGAGGAAGGAAGCAGACAGAGGAAGAAAAGTCAAGGACCATATTTATTGCATTATTAGAATTTTAGGGTGTGGCAAGAATTTAATGTTTCCTAATAATATGCAAGTTCTGTTGGAAAGAAGAGCAACAGGAGACTAAAAGGCTGCTCTGTTGCCCATTTCATAGGTCCAATGGCAGGATAAGCTTGGGTTGGATGCCAGTGTTCCTGATTCCTAATTGTGTTTTATCCGGTTGAAACATCAGTGGCTGTAGTTAAAAACACCTAAATTTTATTAATTCACAGTCCTGAAAGCCCTTCTTCCACTTCCTGTCTTTGACCTGATTACACCTAATTTTGTCCACAGGATGTTACACTGTTAGTAATAAAACCTATTTTATTTCCAAATTAACCAAGAGAATATACTTTAAAAATTTACTATTTTCATTATTTGTTTACTTTTTTTAAAAAATTGAACACTTGTCAGCTATTGACATTGTTTACTTCTTACACTTTCTCTTTATTTTGGAGTTTACTTTCTATTTCTGCCATAATAAAATATTCGTTATTGGAAACTTTACTTAAAAAGCAAAGGTTGCTTCTCCGCCTTTCCCAGTTGCCCTATAAGCTAGTAAATTCATCATTCATTAGCTTATATATTTTACAACACGGGGATTTTAGTTTACAGCAAATACTTTAAAAAATTCTTTTCATGTTACAATGTGCAATCAATGGCATTCCAGACTCTTGGAAGGAAATCCATTGTATGGTTGTGTTCTTTTTTTTCTTCTCAAACCAATAAAAAATTCCCAGTCACAATTTTAAAAATTATCTGTCCTTGGTGGTGCACAGCCCATAGTCCCAAATGCTTGGGCTGACGTGGGAGGATTGCTTGAGCCTGGTAGGTCAAGGCTGCAGTGAGCTATGATTGCACCACTGCACTCCAGCCTGGGCAACAGAGAGAGACCCTGTCTCAAAAAAATAGACGAAACAACATAACGTGATCCACCCTCTAAGCAAATTTTCATGTATACAATTTCACTATTGTATATGTGAGATTTTTATATATGAAATTTCACATGTCAATTCAGTATTGTTAACTGTAGGAACTGGGTGTATGGTCAATCTCCGTGGTTTATGTATGTTGCTCATCCTTTAATCAATATATTTCCCCTTCCCTATCAAGGCCTATCTTCTGATAACTGTCTCTCTACTCTCTACTTCTATGAGTTTGACTATTTTAGATTCTGCGTTAGTCCATTCTCATGCTGCTAATAAAGACATACCTGAGACTGGTTAATTTATAAAGGAAAGAGGTTTAATGGACTCACAGTTCCACATGGCTGCAGAGGTTCTGACAGTCATGGCAGAAGGTAAAAGGAGGAGCAAAGTCACGTCTTACATGGCAGCAGGCAAGAAGAGAGCGTGAGCAGGGAAACTCCCATTTATTAAAACATCTGATCTCGTGAGACTTATTCACTATCAGGAGGACAACATGGGAAAACCCACCCCCATGATTCAGTTACCTCCCACCTGGTCTCTCCCACAACACGTGGGGATTATGGGAGCCACACTTTAAGATTAGACTTGGGTGGGGACACAGCCAAGCCATGTCAGATTCCTTGTATAAGTGAGATCATGCAATATTTAATATTTGTTTTTCTGTGCCTATCTTATTTCACTGAACATAATGGCCTCCAGTTCCATCCATGTTGCTGCAAATGCCAGAGTTTCCTTCTTTTTTTAGGGCTGAATGGTATTCCATCGTATATATGTACCATGTTTTCTTTATCCATTTGCCCTTGGACGGACACTGAGGTTGTTTCCACGTCTTGGCTGTTGTGATTAGTGCTGCCATAAACATGGGAGTGCAGGTGTCTGGAAGATCCTAGTTCTCTTGGGTTTTGCAATCTAGCATAAAGCAGGCACAGGAGTATCAGCCAATGAATGGATAGGTAAATGGATCAATATTGATTAGTGAGTTTGCTCGTCAACAGATGTTGGTTCCTCAGAAGGATAAACTTCCAAACCATCCTTTCTCTGAAAGTCAGTTTCTGAGAAGCCTCCTCTGCTGTTTGGGGTGGGTGTGATCACATAATACGGGAGGGCAGTTTTGTTTTAGTTACTCATCTCTGTCTGCAGCTGTGAATGGGTTGTCTAAAAATATTGCTGAGAATTGACTTGCATGTCAGTAAGGGGCTGCTGACTCTGGGATCAAGGTAGATCAAAGACAATTTAGGGATACTCTAGAAATCCTGCATCAGTTGCAGTGGCTCATGCCTGTAGTCCCAGCACTTTGGGAGGCTGAAGCAGGAGGATCGCTTGAGCCTAGGAGTTCAAGCCTAGCCTGAGCAATGTAGTATAACCTCTTCTCTACAAAAAGTACAAAAATTAACCAGGTAGGCTGAGGCGGGAAGATTGCTTGAGCCCAGGAGGCAGAGGCTGCAGTGAGCTGTGATGGTGTCACTGTACTCCAGCTTGGGCGACAGAGTAAAGTCATTCATTCCAGTAACTGAAGAACATTTATGCTACGTGAAGAATATTTCAATATGCATGTGAACACATGCATACCTTATAGGATCAATGTGTTACAGGAAGAGGAGGAGGATGAAGAGAAGAAGAGGAGGAGAAAGAAGGAGAAACAAGCAAAGCGTGTTTACATTGAAAAAGTGCTCCCAAGATACTATAGAGATTTTGATTTTCTTTTATATCTCATTGACTGTTAGATTTCTTCATTTAGATGCACCCCAGTGGGAGGAAGAGGAGGGAGAAGAGGAGGAGATGGAGGAGGAGGAAGTGGAAAATAAAAGGAAATAGAGGAGGAGGAGGAGGTGAAAGAGAAGGAGGAGAAGATTGAGGAAGAGAAAAAAGAGAAGGCAGAGATGGAGGAGGAGGGGAAGGAAGAGAAGAAAGTGTTTGGATTGAAAATGTCCCAGCAGAATACAGTAGAGCTGTTGGTTTTCTTTTGTATTTGTAGTGGTTGCAGTTGTCTTTCTTTCTGTTTGTGGGTACCTATAGCACTTCATCGCAATCCACGGCAGATTGTAGAATATGGACTCCATGCTTTGAGCAAGTTAGTGTGTCTTAAGAAGAGAGCAGTGTTGAGGAGGTCTGCCTGTTTTATACCCTGTCTGGATTACTGATAAAACCAGAGAGCCTGAAGAGAAAAAGACATGTTACATAAATACATTTACTGTTACTCTAATGCTTCTATATCTGGGCCTGTGGGGCATATGTGGGTGTGCTCTCTGCAAAGACTGATCTGCAGAAATTATGGCCAGTTTGTCCCCAAATTGAAGAAGCAGATGGCTCTCTCTGTCTCCTTCTCTCTCGCTCTTTCTCTCTCTGCAATTTCTGTATTCAGTGGAAAATTCCAGGTGATCGCCTCTCACTAAATGCCATCAGCCCACGTGCACCATGACACAAAGTCTCTGAAAGTTTCACTTGGGGTCTGTGTTTGCTGTCCTGGTGCAGCCCCCCACTGATTGCATGGCTGCGGTGGTTTTTCCCTTTGTCAGGAGACTTAATGACCTCTGTCGATTTCTTCTCTCTCCAGGCACTGGGACGTTCGGGCGGGTGCACCTGGTGAAGGAGAAGACAGCCAAGCATTTCTTCGCCCTCAAGGTGATGAGCATTCCCGACGTCATCCGCCGGAAGCAGGAGCAGCACGTGCACAATGAGAAGTCTGTCCTGAAGGAAGTCAGCCACCCGTTCCTCATCAGGCTGTGAGTCCCCTCCTGAGGCCTCTCCCGACGCACTCTCCCTAGACCCCTGTGTGTCTCTTCTTATAAGAAGCTGGGTGGGCCGAGACCATGGCCTGCGTGCAAAGCCTTAGGCCACAGCAGTCTCCACCTGTCAGGTCTTATCAGCCTCTGATCTTAGAGCTGGAATACCTCCAGGGCTCCTGACCTCCATGGCTGACCAGGTCCAAAAAGAAATGCTCTGTGTTCAGAAGTCCGTGCCCAAGGCCCCTTGCTCCTCTCCTGGGTGAGCGAAGTATCTCTGCCCGGAAAAGGATGCAGGAATCTTTGTCTCCTCACCTCCTTGGGTTCTGCATCTATAGCTCTCGGCAGAACTGGTTAAGTTGGTTTTTAAGGGACCACAGTCACGTGGACGGGGCTGGGCTTCAGGTTTCGTTGGGTTTCTGGTTGACTGTGGATGAGAGATACCCCGTTTAGATGCAGCCCACACACTTCCAGCTGATGGTACACAGCAGTCTTATGTCCTAGGGTAAGTGTGTTAGTCCATTCAGGCTGCTATAACAAAGGATCTTAGACTCGGTAATTTACAAATGACAGACATTTGCCTCATGGTTCTGGAGGCTGGAAAGTCCAAGATCAAGACACGGTGGATTCAGTATCTGGCGAGGACCCGCTTCCTGGTTCATAGATGGCACCTTTTCACTGTGTCCTCACATGGTGGAAGGGGTGAGGGATCTCTCTGGGGTCCCTTTTATAAGGGCACTCGTCCCATTCATGAGACTCCACCCTCATGACCTCCCAAAGGACACACCACCTAACACCATCACCTGTGGGTGAGGATCCAACATAGGGATTTGGGAGGACACAAGAAATTCAGGCCATTCCAGCAGGGTAATTCCATTTCCACCCAGGTGCCTTAGATGAGGATGTCCTTCGTGTCTCTCTTTTCCCTCTATGGGTGCCTTTTATCCAATTCCCATGTCCTCTCGCCACCATCTTGCTACTACGCCTCTCTTGTCCACCTCCCATCTTCTGCTTTATCTAGGTCCCATCTCTCTACCGTGATTTTCTGCACTGTACTTCCTCCTATCTGGTCTTTCCCTCCCACCCTTGCTCCCCTTGAAGACATCCTTCACCTTATAGCCTCATTGATCCTCCCCAAGTACCTCTGCAATGACCAGTCTCTCTCCAGTCATCCTCAGGAAGCTCCTGAAGTATCCCATATAAAGCCCCAGGATGCAGCATCTTCCTATCAATATCCTCACAGACTGGCTTCCTGCCAGCACCTCCCTGTAGTAGAAGGTAGAAGGTGCTGTTTACACGCTCACTACGGGTCTTCTCCTAGGCCACTCCTCCTTGACAGGCCTCCTTCTTTGCCTTTATCATTGTCCTTCACTTCCCCCACCTGAGAAACACACACTTGTTTTCCCTCATTCACCTGTAGTCCCCAGGACACAGGATGCCTCCCATCATGTTCTTGAAGCACCTCGTATGTATTGGAACAAGTGCACCTGCCTTTTCTAGACCCAACATGGCCTGAGTTCTGAACAAAATCATATGCAGAGGATGGGCGCAGTGGCTCATACCCGTAATCCCAGCACTTTGGGAGGCCAAGGCAGGTGGATCACGTGAGGTCAGGAGTTAGAGACCAGCCTGGCCAACATGGCAAAACCCTGTCTGTACTAAAAATACAAAAATTAGCTGGGCATGGTGGCATGTGCAGGAGAGCAGCGTAGAGGATGGGCTTACGGGTATTTTAAAATCTAAAATCCCGCAGAAGAATCGCATAGACATGGGAGTGGGTGGAGTGTGCAAGTGAGAGAATTCCTTAGGATAGAATTCTTGAGCTCCCACAAGTTAAAAAATAAAGAGGAGCTTGCAAAACAGAGCTTTAGTTAGATAATTCTCCTTTCTTCAAGCCAGGATAGTTCAACAGCTGTTTTCCTTAGCAGATAAGGTGGATTCCTGCAGGGACATGGATTCTGATTTTGATGTTCCTGCTTTCTTCTTTTTCGTTGGAGTCTCGCTCTGTCACCCTGGCTGGACTGCAGTGGCGCTATTTCGGTTCACTGCAACTGCTGCCTCCTGAGTTCAAATGATTCTCCTACCTCAGCATCCCAAGTAGAGTAGCTGGGACTCCAGGTGCATGTCACCATGCCTAGCTAATTTTTGTATTTTTTGTAGAGACGGGGTTTTGCTGTGTTGGCCAGGCAGATCTTGAACTTGTGACTTCAAATTATCCACCCACCTCGGCCTCGCAGTGTGCTAGGATTACAGGCGTAAGCCACTGTGCCAAGCCTGCCTACTTTCAATTAAGGAACAAAGTCTTCTATATTTCTTTTTTTGTTCTTTTTTCTTCTTTTTTTTAATTATACTTTTAAGTTTTAGGGTACATGTGCACAATGTGCAGGTTAGTTAAATATGTATACATGTGCCATGTTGCTGTGCTGCACCCATTAACTTGTCATCTAGCATTAGGTATATCTCCTAATGCTATCCCTCCCCCCTCCCCCCAGCCCACAACAGTCCCCAGAGTGTGATGTTCCCCTTCCTGTGTCCGTGTGTTCTCATTGGTCAATTCCCACCTGTGAGTGAGAACATGCGGTGTTTGGTTTTTTTGTCCTTGAGATAGTTTGCTGAGAATGATGGTTTCCAGCTTCATCCATGTCCCTACAAAGGACATGAACTCATCATTTTTTATGGCTGCATGGTATTCCATGGTGTATATGTGCCACATTTTCTTTATCCAGTCTAGCATTGTTGGACATTTGGGTTGGTTCCAAGTCTTTGCTATTGTGAATAGTGCCGCAGTAAACATACGTGTGCATGTGTCTTTATAGCAGCATGATTTATAATCCTTTGGGTATATACCCAGTAATGGGATGGCTGGGTCAAATGGTATTTCTAGTTCAAGATCCCTGAGGAATCGCCACACTGACCTCCATAATGGTTGAACTAGTTTATAGTCCCACCAACAGTGTAAAAGTGTTCCTATTTCTCCACATCCTCTCCAGCACCTGTTGTTTCCTGACTTTTCAGTGATCACCACTCTAACTGGCGTGAGATGATATCTCATTGTGGTTTTGATTTGCATTTCTCTGATGGCCAGTGATGATGAGCATTTTTTCATGTGTCTTTTGGCTGCATAAATGTCTTCTTTTGAGAAGTGTCTGTTCATATCCTTTGCCCACTTTTTGATGGGGCTGTTTGTTTTTTTCTTGTAAATTTGTTTGAGTTCATTATAGATTCTGGATATTAGCCCTTTGTCAGATGGGTAGGTTGCAAAAATTTTCTCCCATTTTGTAGGTTGCCTGTTCACTCTGATGATAGTTTCTTTTGCTGTGCAGAAGCTTTTTAGTTTAATTAGATCCCATTTGTCAATTTTGTCTTTTGTTGCCATTGCTTTTGGTGTTTTAGACATGAAGTCCTTGCCCATGCCTATGTCCTGAATGGTATTGCCTAGGTTTTCTTCTAGGGTTTTATGGTTTTAGGTCTAACATTTAAGTCTTTAATCCATCTTGAATTAATTTTTGTATAAGGTGTAAGGAAGGGATCCAATTTCAGCTTTCTACATATGGCTAGCCAGTTTTGCCAGCACCATTTACTAAATAGGGAATCGTTTCCCCACTTCTTGTTTTTGTCAGGTTTGTCAAAGATCAGATCGTTGTAGATATGCGGCATTATTTCTGAGGGCTCTGTTCTGTTCTATTGGTCTGTATCTCTATTTTAGTATCAGTAAGGTCTTTTATATTTCTTAAATCTCATATAAAGCCCTAGAGACTTTAGATATTCTATCCAAAGTTATTTAAGTTGGTTTATTTTTATCTTTTTATATAAAAAAGTATATATATATTTCTTAATTTAGAGACAGGGTCTTGCTGTGTGGCTCAGGCTGGAGTTCATTGGAGCAATCAATGCTCACTGCAGCTCCAATCTCCCAGGCTCAAGCTGTCCTCGTGTCTCAGCCTCCAGAGTAGCTGGGACTACTGGCATGCACCACTACACCCTGCTAATGTTTTTAGTTATTTTTAATTAAAAAAAAAAGTATATATTTTTCACAACTTCTTTGGTGAAGGTAATGTTTTTGGTTTTTTCTATAAACAGAGTCTTGCTATACTGCCGAGGCTGGGCTTTAACTTTAGGCCTCAAGCCATCCACTTGCCTTGGCCTTCCAGTGTACTGAGATTACAGGTATGTACCACCATACCTGCCTCATTTTAAAGTCTTTTATAAAAATGAGGTCTCACTTTGCTGCCAGGCCAGTTTCAAACTCCTGGGCTCAAATGATCTTCCCACCTTGGCTTTCCAGCATGCTGAGATTACAGATGCGAGCCACTGTGCCTGGCCTATTTTTGTTTCTTAAGGAGTGAAATTTCTGTGCACCATGATAGCTTTCTGAGTGGAAAGTTTGGATGCTTCATGGGTTGTCCTTTGCCTGTACAGCTCACCGGCTCCTCCGAGTGCTGGTTACAGTCGAATGTGAGCTGTATGTCAGGTCTGCGTGGTGGTGTTGCCAAAAAGCATGAATTTTTCCTCATCATTTAAAGTCTACACGGAATTTAAGGCCACTTTCGATATTATTCTTGGGAGGATTTTATTCAGTGTTTTGGGAAAACATGGCAGGAGCTCATTTCAGAATTATATGATTTGGGGATGAGCTCAGTGGCTCACACCTGTAATACCTGCGTTTTTGGAGGCCAAGACGGGAGGATCGCTTGAGACCAGGAATTCTGGACCAGCCTGGGCAACATAGTGGAATGTCATCTCTTAACAAAAATATGAAAAGAAATTTTAGCCTGGCCAACATGGCGAAACCCTGTCTCTGCTAAAAATAGAAAAATTCACTGGGCGTGGTGGTGCAGGTTGGTAATCTCAACTACTTGGGAGACTCGGGCGCTAGAATCTCTTAAGTTTGGGAGGCAGACATTGCAGTGAGCCGAGATTGCACCACTGCATTCCAGCCTGGGTGACAGAGCAAGACTTCATCTCAAAAAAAAAAAAACCAGAGAAAAATAAATAAAATTATTCAATTTTGAAATAGTGCAGAAAACAAGGCAGGCTCTGAAATCTGCAGCTCTTGTGAAATGTTTTGGATCTAGAGAAATGATTGTCAACAATGAGCCTTTAAAGACTTAAGGGTGATAACAATTTACAGGTGACTTTTAACAGTGATAGCAATTTACAGGTGACTTTTTCCAAAATTTACAGAAAACAAGTTTGCCACTTGGACACATTGACTCATACCTATAATGTCAGCATTTTAGGAAGCCAAGGTAGGAGGATTCCTTGTGCCCAGGAGTTTGAGACCACCCTGGGCAACATGGCAAGACCCTGTCTCTACAAAAAGTACAAAAATTAGCTGGGTGTGGTGGTGGGTGCCTATAGTCTCAGCTACTTGGGAGGCTGAAGTGTGAGGATCGCTTGAGCCTGGGAGGTGGAGGTTGCAGTGAGCTGTGATTGTGCCACTGTACTGCAGCCTGGGCAACAGAGTGAGACCTTTTCTCAAAAAAAGAATCCAAAAGCCAATATGCAGTTGGAGAGGGTGAGTAACTTAGCCCATGAGACCTTGTAGTGACTTGCTGAGAATTGATTTTTCAGTACCCTGCAGTGTTACGATAACCCACTATAGCATTTTGTGTTTTCTGTGCATGAATGCTTGAGAGACCATGTGGCTTTAAGAAGTGGATTAAAGTTGATCCAGGGCATCCAGGCACTTGATGTTCCCTATATATAACACAGGAGAGAATGCTTGATCTGGCTAGCTCCGTGGATAAAACGCTGAAGGGTGTCCAGTGTATCCCCATGGATAAGATGCTGGAGGGTGTCCAATGTTGCATGCTGAGGAGTATGTCTTAGAGGAGAATCCTAGATCCTCTGTGAGGAATTAATTTCATCCTCCCAGTTGTGCAGCTTCTCTTCTAAATGTAGGTTGCCTGGCTCAACATCTGCTTCCCTACTGGCAGTTTTAGGTCTTGGATTTCTTGATGAAAGTACAAAACAAGGACTTTCAAAGGAAGTGTCTTACAGTTACGGCTGGATGAGTTTCTGTGGTGGGGACGCCCTGCACACTGTAGGGTGTTGGGGAGTGTCCCTGGGCTCTGCTCAGCCTATGCCAGGGGCAGCAACCCCAGTTATGAAAACTAGAAATGTCTCCAGACATCACCAAGTATTCCTTGGGGGGAGGAAGGGCAAAGTTATCTCCACTAGTGAACCACTGCGATAGACAGATAATCGACAGAGAGATGATACGTAGGTATATGTTGAGATGGATAGGTGATAAATAATAGATATTAAGATAGACAGGTCTAAGTGATGGGTGATTGATAGGTGAATAGATGATGGGTAGCTAACATTAAGATAGATATTAAGATAGGTGATAGATAATAGATATTAATACAGACAGATAGCTATAGATGATAGATATTGAGATACATATTGAGATGGATTTGTGATTGATAGATTGCAAATAGACAGAGCTCTCACGTTATGGGAAAACATTGAGCTTGTTTTTCTTGCGTTTCTGGAAGCCGCATGGAGTGCTACTCATGACAGGAATCAAGTTGAACAGTGACTGTTTGGAGTTCAAAGTGCCATTTGAACAACATGGTAGGTTTGCAAATGGCATTATCAGCATGTGGTATTTGAACAGCTACAGGTTGTAAGTTTGAAAAGACACCAGGGAATTTATGTAGTGTACATGAAAGACCACATTCTGTTCAGTGATAATTCCATTTCTCAAGGCCATCTCAGACTCTTACAAGAGCCAAATAACTAAGTGTTCAAGGTGCAGAAGAAATCCAGCAAAGTCACTTTCCCAGAGGGAAAGTTTTGTGCTCCTCCCAGAGACCATGACCATGATGCATACAGGAATTTCTGACATTTGGATCCAGAACAGGGTTTCTCAACCTGAGCACTGCTGACATCTGGGCGTGGGTGATTCTCTGTGGTGGGGCATCCTGTGTGCACTGTAGGGTGTTGAGCAATGTGCCTGGGCTCTACCCACCAGATGGCAGCAGGACTCTTCCCCAGTGGTGACAACCAGAAAGATCGAGACAACCAAAAAGTTCTCTAGATGTTGTCTGATATCACGTGGGAGACTGGAGGGTGTGGGGGTAAAATTGTGTGTAGTTACAAACCAGTGCAACAGAGAGATGAAAGGTGGATGGATGGATGGATGGATGATAGATAATTATTATTCATAGATACATGGTTGATAAATGGATAGATGATATAGATAGATGATAGATTGATAAATGGATAAATGATATAAACAGATGGATGAATGGATGGATAGCTAAATATTCATAAATAGATATATGGTAGGTTGATAGATGAATAGATGATAAGGACAGATGATAGATTAATAGATAGATGATATAGACAGATGGATAGATAGGTGTTCATAAATACATACATGACTGATAGTTGGATAGTTTGTATAGATAGATGGTAAATTGATAGGTAGATGATGCAGACAGATGAATGGATGAATGGATGGATGGACAGGCCCTAGAACCCAATGACTTGGCTTTGCCACTCACTAGTTGTTGCAGGCTTTCTCTGAACAAGGATGAGATACCACAGTCACTGGTCACTGTTTGCTACGTGGTAGTTTTTTTTTTTTTTTTTTTTTTTTTGAGACAGAGTCTCACTCTGTCGCCCAGGCTGGAGTGCGGTGATGCAATCTTGGCTTGTTGCAACCGCTGTCTCCAGGGTTCAAGTAATTCTCTTGCCTCAGCCTCCAGAGTAGCTGGGATTATTGGTGCTCACCACAGTGCACAGCTAATTTTGTATTTTTAGTAGAGACCAGGTTTCACCATGTTGGCCAGGCTGGTTTCGAACTCCTGACTCAAGTGATTCATCTGTCTGTGCCTCCCACAGTGCTGGGATTACAGACATGAACCACCCCACCCGGCCCTCACGTAGTAGTTTCTTGAATTGCTCATTTTTGCCCGTTACAGTTACTTTTTTTTTTTCTTTTAAGATGGAGTCTCGCTCTGTCGCCCAGGCTGGAGTGCAGAGGTGCGACCTCGGCTCACTGCAAGCTCCGCCTCCTGGGTTCACGCCATTCTCCTGCCTTAGCCTCCCAAGTAGCTGGGAGTACAGGCACTCGCCACCACGCTTGGCTAGTTTTTTGTATTTTTAGTAGAGACGGGGTTTCACCGTGTTAGTCCGGATGGTCTTGATCTCCTGATCTTGTGATCCACGTGCCTTGGCCCCTCAAAGTGCTGGGATTACAGGCGTGAGCCACTGCACCTGGCCTACAGATACATTTTGCTACCTGCCATGAGGGAGAATCTGTATTCAGTTTAGAATCATCGTCATCCTGGGGAGAGAATGTGCCTTAGCATGGCTGAGGCCAGGCTGCTGGTCCCTTCAGATGGTGCTTCCCGCTGTGCTGTCGTTCTAGGTGGCCCCGTTGCAATGCTGACTTGACTTGCACCAAGGCAGTACAGAATGGATGGGATTTGCTAAAGGTGCCCACCTGCCTCCACCTTTTGCTGGCAGTTCCAGGTGTTGGACTTTTTATTGATGAAGGTGTAAAGCAAGGATTTTCAGTGGAGGTACCTCACATTTACAGCTGGATGAGTCTCTATGGTGGGGCCATCCTGCACACTGTAGGGTGTTGAACAGCATCCTTGGGCTCCCCCCAGCAGGGGCCAGGAGCAGCAACCCCAGTTCTGAAAACCGGAAATGTTTCCAGATGTCACCAATGTTCCTTCCAGGAGGGAGGGCAAAGTTATCTCCACTAGTGAACCTCTATTATACATGACCAACAGAGAGATGATAGATGGATACTATAGTAGGTATATGTTGAGATGGATAGGTGGTAGATAATATATATTAATATAGGACTAAATGATAGGTGACGGATAGGTGAATAGATGATGGGTAGCTGATAGATGATAGCTATTAAGATAGGTGATAGACAATAGATACTAATATAGATAGCTATAGATGATAGATATTGAGATGGGTAGGTGATTGATAGATTGATGACCGATTGCATATAGACAGAGCTCTCATGCTAAAAGAGAATTTCTCAACCACAGCAGTGCTGACACATGGGGCGGGATCATGGAGGACTCTCTGTGGTGGAAGCTCTATGTACTGTAGGGTGTTGAGCACCATCCCTGGGCTTCAGATGCCAGGAGCATCCATCCCATCTGTGACAACCAAAGATGTCTCTAGATTCTACCAGGTTTCCTCTGTGCGGACAAAAAGTTATCCCCAGTTCTGAACCACTGTGATAGATAGTTGATGGATGGATAGATATTGATAACTGAGACAGATATTTGATAGGTGACAGATATTGAGGTAGATGATAGCTATAGGTGATTGATGATTGCTAGATATTGAGATAGGTGATTGTCCGAGACGGATACATTGCATTTTTAGTATTTAAGGGCAAAGCAGATGCTTCAAAAAGGGAGGCTTATTTTATTATCTATAATTTTCTTTTTTATTATTTTTTACTTTCATTCCCTTTTTCTATGTATGAAAAGGGAGGTTTAAATTCTTGCAAGAGAATGCAATTGTAGTGTCTTCTGAATGGAGTTTTCCATTTGATGCCAAGCCTTCCAGTGCCTTGGTCTAAGGAGAACTGCATAGGGTGAGAAGAGTCCCAGCGATAACGTGGAAAAGGGGCCTTAACACCTCTGGAGGGCAAGAGGTAGGGGGTGAAGACGCAGTGGACACCTAAGGAGAATTTTGCAGGAGGAGTAGGGGTTTATTGGCTGAAAGGGGTGGGTGGTGGAAAATCATTCTAGACAGGGAGTGACACGGAAGCAAGCCATGGGTCACTACAGGGCAGGAGGGACATGGAGGAGAAACTCAAATCTGAGTTCAGCCAGGAGGTGGACACAGGAATGCAGTGAGCTCAGATGTGTAGGAGACTGCCGTGGGGACTGGGGTATGAGGAAGGACTGGCTCTGGCTTGGCTGTGCATTTGGGCTGCTGGACAGTGAGGAGATCCAAGGAGAGAGAGTGCATTCCAATTTGGGAAACTTTGAGGGCAAAACATCTGCAGCAACTGTCTCAGAAGAGAGCCTGAGGCAGGGTCCTTGGAGGGAGGAAGCCACAGGTGGATGGAGCCACCGAGGGCTGCTAGGTCACCTTGGTTAAGGGCTAGTTGCAGTGCAGCCAGGTCGGAAAGTAGAGCCGTTCTGGAGCCTCACGTGGCATAGATGTTGGAGGAGATGGGATGAGGATGGCTCATTTTCTTCTTCTCACCACAAAAGCCCAGCTTAATGGCAGGCTCTGGAGAGAGGAGGACCAACTTCTACGGTAAGGTGTCTCCAAATTAGTGAGGCTGATTTGCCTGTTCATAAAAACAAAAACAAAAGCAAAAAAATCCTTTAGAGGAGAAGCCATCCCCACAGACCCTGCAAATAAAAGACAGCAGATCAGCTTCGCAGATGGAAAAATGCTGCTTTCAGCTAAAGATGAGGACAGAGCTGCTCAGCTGAGGTCACTGGAGAGGAGGCGGAGGGGACTTGGGAACCTCCCTTGTCTCAGTTGTTGTTGACGACATTGATCCTTTCTTCATGTTGACTTTTCCCCCCATTCATAGATTCATAGATTGCTCTCTATGCTGGAATACGTTCTTTAGGATTTGTTTATTTTGTTAACATATATCACATAAAATTTTGCTATTTTAACTTCCTTTTTTTTTAAAGAAATGTGGTCTTGCTGTGTTGCCCAGGCCGCTGTGCACTGGTGTGATCGTAGCTTACTGCAGCCTCAACCTCCTGGGCTCAGGTGATCCTCCTGCCTCAGCCTCCCAAGTAGCTGGGACTTACAGGTGTGTACTTCGACACCTGCCTAATTTTTAAAATTTTGGTAGAGGTGGGGTTTTGCTGTGTTGCACAGGCTGGTCTCCAACTACCGGGCTCAAGCAGTCCTGCTACCTCAGGCTCCCAAGTAGAGCTAGGACTACAGGCTCATGCCACCATGCCCAGTTTACCTTTTAATTTTTGGTAAAGTTGTGATTTTGCTTTGTTGCCCAGGCTGTTCTCAAACTTCTGACCTCAGGCAGTCCTCCTGCCTTGGTTGAGATTACAGGCATGAGCCTCCATGCCTGGCCTCATTTTAACCATTTTTAAAATGTACGGTTCATGACTCAGGAGGCTGAAGCAGGAGGACCATTTCAACCCACAAGGCAGAGGTTGCCATGAGCTGAGTTTGTGCCACTGCACTCTATCCTGGGCAACAGAAAAAAAATATATAAGATGCACAGTTTAGTGACATGGAGCACATTCATGTTTCTATGCAACCGCCACCCCAACCCCATCCCCATCCGTTTCCAGAACTCCTTTTCATCTTCCCCAACTGAAACTCTGTCCTCATGAAACATGCCCTATTGCCCCTCCCTCCAGACCTGCCCAGGTAACCTCCCGCATACTCTCTGCTCTATGAATTTGGTGATTCTAGGAGCCTTATATAGGCAGAATCATACGGCATTTGTCCTTTTGTGACTGGCTTCTTTCAGTTACTGTAATGTCCTTCAGATTCCCCCATCCTGTAGAAAGGAATTTCCCTCCTTTCTAAGCCCGAGTAGCGTTCCATCGTATAGAGGATACAGCATGTTGTGTTTACCCATTCATTCATCCTTGGACACTGGGGTGCCTTCCACCTCTTGGCTGTAGTGAATAATGGTGCTATGAACAAGGTTCGGCAAATATCTGTTCCAGTGCCTGCTTTCAGCTGCTTGAATACATTTTTTTAATTTATTATTATTATTATTTTGAGATGGGGTCTCACTCTGTTACCCAGGCTGGAGTGCAGTGGTGATCTTGGGTCTCTGCAACCTCTGCCTGCCGGATTCAAGCGATTCTCCCACCTCATCCTACTAGTAGCTGGGATTACAAGCATGCAACACCATGCCCGGCTCATTTTGTATTTTTAGTAAATATAGGTTTTCACCTTGTTGACCAGGCTGATCTGGAATTCCTGACCTCAGGTGATCTACCCACCTGGGCCTTCTAAAGTGCTAGGATTACAGGCGTGAGCCACCACCCCTGGCCCCTTGATACATTTTTAGTATTGTAATTAAATGCTTTTCCCACTGTTGCAGGGAGCCTATGCAGTGTTTTTAGTTAAATATTTTTTCTGAGGCTTACCTCAAGTTTTCCTGTCTTCCACTTACCCTCCCTCATTCCCAGGTAACTGTATTTCACAGCCTGGTATGGATCCTTCTGTACTGTTCTTTGTGTTAAAAAGCCCCCTCACACACACAAGCATGTGCACACACAAGCACATATGCACACAAGCACACACACGTGCACATGCACACATACACATGTGCACATGCACACATGCACGCACACATGTATGCATGCATGCACACACACAATGCGCACGCATGCCCCATGCAGTTTGGCCTCATGCCACTAGAGTATGCATCATTTTTGTCTCTTGTTTTCTTGGAGATCCCTCTGGGGTATTTTGAGGAGGAGAAGTTGTATTATTATTGTGTTGTTGTTAATTTTTAGACATTCAGGGACACACGTGGAGTTTTGGTACATGGATGTATCATGTCATGGTGAGCTTTGGGCTTCTAGGGTACCCCTTACCCAAATAGTGAACATTGTACCCGATAGGTAATTTCTCAGCCCTCAACCCCTTCCCAGCCTTCCCCTTTTGGGAGTCCCCGTATCTGTTATTTCCATTTCTATGTCCATGTGGACCCACTGTTGAGCTCCCACTTTTGAGCGAGACTATGCGGTATTTGACTTTCTGTGTCTCAGTTATTTTACTTAGGATAGTGGTTTCCAGTTCCATCCCTGTCGTTACAAAATACATGATTTTTTTTATAGCAATGTTGACATACTGTATTTTCTGTGGCTTTTATATACTAAATTTTCTTTATGCAGTCATCTATTGGAATGGCTGTTACAAAAACTCAAAAAATTCCACACATGGTGGCCCATGCCTATAATCCCAGCACTTTGAGAGACCCAGGCAGGAGGATCACTTGATCCCAGGAGTTTTAGACCAGCCTGGGCAACATAGTGAGACCCAGTCTCTACAAAAAGCTCAAAGAAATAGTGAGGGATGGTGTTGCATGCCTGTAATCACAGTTCTTCAGGAGGCTGAGGTGGAAGAATTGCTTGAGCTCAGGAGTTGAAGGCTGCAGTGACCTATGATCGCACCACTGCACTCCAGCCTGTGCAACAACAGAGTGAGACCCTATCTAGGAAAAAAACAGAAAAGTAAGAAAACAACAGATGTTGGTGTGGAAGTGGAGGAAAGTGGCCGTGGATGCGCTGCTGGTGCGGAGGAGGTCTTCCAGTGCATGCAGCAGGGGAGGTGACCTCACTTCTCCTCGAGAGGAGCTCAGCTGTGCAAGGCAGTGTTGGAGAGGATGGGAGGGTGCATGTGACCCTAGGAGCAAGGCTGTGTGCCTGTGGGCATGCACTTCCTGGTGACGTTTCCTTGGACCCCACAGTGGGAAAAACAGGAGCCCCTCTGCCCTCTCATTCCTCTTTCTCTGTATTTGCATTTGCTGTCTTGCTGGTCTCAAGATTCCCAAGCGCTGCTGCCAGCCCACCCCTTCAGCCTGCCAAGCTACATGTGTGCGCCCACTTGACCACTCTCTGAGCCTTCTGCTCAGGTGCCTCCCACCAAAAATGAGTTCCTGCTCTTCCTCCTTGCCCCTCAGCCCTAGTCATTTCCTCATTTGCAGTTCCCCGTTTATAAGTGCCCCTTCTGCTCTTGGAGCTCAGCCAGGAACCATTTTTTATTTCCTTTTCTTTGGCTCTGTATTCACTCTCATCCTGAATCCTGCCCTTTTAATTTTTTTTTTTTTGAAAAGATGTGGTCTTGCCATCTCATCCAGGCTGAAGTGCAGTGGTACAGTCATGTCTCACTGCATCCTTGACCTCCTAGGCTCAAGGGATCCTCCCACCTCAGCCTCCCAAGAAACTGGGACCACAAATGCACACCACTATGTCCAGCTAATTAAAAAATTTTTTTTGTAGGGACAGGATCTCACTATGTTGCTCAGGCTGGTCTCAAACTCATGGTTTCAAGCGTTTCCCCTGCCTCGGCCTCCTAAGTAGCTAGGATTACAGGTGCACACCACCATGCCTTGACCCTTTCCAATTCTCAAACACATCTCCAGAGCCCATCTACATCAATGATGTCTTCACAGAAGCCGCCGTAGCTTATCTAAATTCCCTCCCCTTCTCTCCATTGATCTCCGATCTCTGCAGAACTCACCCCTTCCTGCTGTATCAGCCCAAACCTTTCTGACATGAAAATAGGCTGGGTGCAGTGACTCAAGCCTGTAATCTCAGCACTTGTGGAGGCTGAGGTGGGAGAACTGCTTGAGACCAGGAGTTTGAGACCAACCTGGGCATCATACTGAGACCCCATCTCTAATTTTTTTTTTTTTGCAAAGACAGGGCCTTTCTCTGTTGCCCAGGATGGAGTGCGGTGGTGCCATCATAGTTCACTGCAGCCTCATTCTCCTGGGCCCAAGTTATCCTCCCACCGCAGCCTCCCAGGTAGCTGGGACTGTAGGCCTGTACCACCAAGCCTGGCTAATTTTTAAATTTTGAGGGTCTTGCTGTGTTGTCCAGACTGATCTTGAACTCTTGAGTACAAGTGATTTTCCTACCTCAGTCTCTCAAGTAGCTAGGAGTACAGGTGTACACCTCAGGCCCACCTAATTTTTAATTTTTTTTTATAGAGACATGGTCTTGCTTTGTGCCTAGGCTGGTTTTGAGCTCCTGGGCTCAAGTGGTCTGCCACCTTGGCCCCACAAAGTGCTGGAGCACTTTGGCCTCTAGCCTTCTTTTATGTCCCTCCCCAGTCTTCCTTTGGCCTTCAGCTGTGGGGACAGAGATGCCCCCTGCCTCCCTGTCCCCACCTTCTACCTGGTCTTGCAAGACCCCCTCCAGGCATCCTTCCAAGTTTACAGTGTAATGTCTGTTCCCCCTCAAACCTGCAAAGCTCATGATAGTCACAAGATCTGCCCTTCCTGATATTGTGTACCGAGGACATTGCTTGGCACATAAGGGGCCCTTGTCCAAAACATCTGGAAACCAATAAAGAATGTGGCTGGTGAGTTACTGATTAATGTGTTGATGAATTCATTGATTGCTGAGGCTAGTACGTACAGTAAGGGTTAGGTTTTGAACATGCTTCTCATATCTATCGTGATAAACCCTCTTATCGTCTATTGCTTTTGAACTTTTATAGACTTGATGTCAGGGAAAGAGTCCCGCATTTAACTGGAATCGTTGAACTGATGCACCGGTTTCTAATTTTCCAAACTCAGATTTGAAATCACCTGTGGTCACTAAACTCTGTCCTATCCCACAGCCCCTGCACATGGTGACTTATGTTTTGTAAATGTTTTTTGGAGATAGTAAAGTCAATATCTCTTTGAATATTTTGTTCCTTACCTTTGGTAAGACCTAGCCCTGCACAAATTCTGTCCATGTAAGCAAAGTCTTTTTTTTTTTTTTTCCAGATAAGGTCTGGCTCTGTCACTGAGGCTGCAGTGCAGAGGTTCAGTCATAGCTCACTGCAGCCTTCAACTCCTGGGCTCAGGCAGTCCTTCCGCCTCAGCCTCTTAAGTACCTGAGACTACAGGCATGCACAACCACACCCGGCTAATCTTTTTATTTTTTTGCAGAGACAGAGTGTCCCTATGTTGCCCAGGCTAGTTTCAAACTCTTGGTTTCAAGTGATCCTCTTGCCTCAGTCTCCCAAAGTGCTGGGATTACAGGTGTGAGCCACCACACTCGCCTGCAAAGTCTGATAAAAGATTTGAAGGAAGGATGTCTCAGAGAACTTTTTTTTTCTTATACTATTTACTTAATCTTATTGATTTGGGGAAGGGCAAGGGAATCCCAGTTTTCTAGATTTTTTTTTTTCTTATAGGAATATGTTTTTACTTGGTACCTCTCTCTGTGTAAACTATTGCTTCTTAAAGATGCTGAGGGGTGATCCCGCATTAGTGTATAGGTAAAAATGATGTCTCCATTTCATATATACTGATTAGGTGACTTTTTTAAGCCTTGTGGTTTGTTGATGTTGATTTTACTGAGACACTTGTGGAACAGATGTATTTTCATACAACCTTACACATCTCAGTAGTTTTCCCCACTCGTGCAGTAACTTTTTCTCCCCTGCTTTCTCTCCTCCTCTCCCCACCTCTTCTTCCTTCCCCTCCTCTCCTCGTCCCTTCCCTCCTCTTCTCATTTGATACAAAGCCCTAGCTCTCTTCCTCTACAGATCATCCTACCCATGGTTGAAATTGCAACTTCCCCTGCAAGCCAAGTGACCGAACCTGAGATGTTTGTATTGTCAGGGCTTGCATATTCTACATGCCTGCATAATCCCCAAAGTTCTTTCATTCCTTGCTTCTAACCTACCCAAATCCTTCTAATCTCCCACCACGGTTAATTATCTCTGATGCTCCTGAAAGGTGACCTGCTGCTACATTGTGACAAGGTGATGCATTATTCTTAAGAGGATCTGTACAGATTATTATCCCAGAGTGGGATAGATGGGGGAGGATACAGTATATATCCAAAGAATATGTTGCAAACTAATAGGAGGGAGAGAGAGAGAGGGAGAGAGAGAGAGAGAGAGATGAATGGGGAGGATACAGGATATATCCAAAGAATGTGTTGCAAACTAATGGGGGGGTGAGGGAATGAGGGAGGGAATGCATCTTTTTCTTGCATATTTCAGCCATTCTCTTCAGCCACATTAATAGTTGTACACAGCGGTCTTGTTATTGCCTTGACCATTTTTGTGGCCTGAAGAAATTTAGAAAGTCACGAGCTGACACAGAAGTTTATTGTAAAAGTTCACCAGTACGATAGTATTTGGATCTTGGAAAATATTTCCCCACCAGAACAGTGAAACTGTGGTTGTCTTCTAAGGTCATCCACAGAAGTACAGTTTGACTCTCATGCGTTTGAGATACCATGTGCTTAATCACGAAGTATTGCTGAGAGGAACACTCTTGCCCAACCAATAATGGTGCAAAACAGAACAATAGGGCATTTAGCTAGGAGAAAATGACTTGAGATGTCAGCTATAAGATGAAAGGAGTGTGGGTATGTGGTAGGTCTTTATAACTCCAACAGATTGCTCTAGAAAACAATCACTACATACCAAAATTTAGCCAGTCTTAGTGGCATGTGCCTGTAATCGCAGCTACTCAGGAGGCTGAGGCAGGACAATCACTTGAACCCAGGAGGCGGAGGTTGCAGTGAGCCAAGATCATGCCATTGCACTCCAAGCCTGGGTGACAGAGCGAGACTGTGTCTCAAAACAAACAAACAAAACAAAGCAACAAAACCACTCCAACAGATACTTCTCCCTCCTCATATACTCTCCCTGGATCCCTTTATGCCTCAAGACCACAGATTTTGAACTTGCTGAGCTGTAGTGAGTGGAGAGGTGGGACACAGGTGCACAGCCTTCAGTAACTGAAGGAAAAAAAAACAAAAGAAATTTCTAATCCTGAGCTTCCTGAGCTCCCTTCAGCCACTCAGCTGCTGAGGGGCAGGAATCTAGCAGCAAGGTGGAGAGCGGAAGGCATTCCTACAACCTGTATTTGTGGGTCATTAGTCCCCGAACTCCAGCATCCTTGCAGAATCTGCAAATTTTAAAGTGCATCAGGTAAGACTTTTTTATATAAGAGGCCTATATTTTGCTAATACATATAAACATTGTGTTTAGTCAAATAAATGTTTATTTAAAATTGACAGTAGCATGTTGTTTTATTTATTTATTTTTTTCTTTTAGGGATAGGATCTGGCTCTGTCACCCAGGTTGAAGTGCAGTGATGTTGTGATCATAGCTCATTGCAAGCCTCCAATTCCTGGGCTCAAGTGATCCTCCCACCTCAGCCTCCTGAATTGCTGGGACGCCACCATGCCTGGCTGATTCTTTTATTGTAGAGATGGGGTCTTGCTGTGCTGCTTATGCTGCTTTCGAACACCTGGCCTCAAGTGATCCTCCTGCCTTGGCTTCCCGAAGTGCTGGGATGACAGGCATTGAGCCACTGTGCCCAGCCTATGACTTTTCCTAGCATTAATCTCTGTGTCATTGTAAGCTGTCTCCTGGGTCTTTGCCTTCATTCTACACTGTTTTGGTGGAATGGCCTGTGCTGGCAGACAAGCCCATCTGGTTGACCTTGAGCATCCTTCCCTGTCCTCAGGAAAGGTTTCCTGCGCATTGTTTTGTTTTCTTTGTACACCGACTGGCTGCAACTCATTGGAATGACCTTGCAAGGGAGCATCCATGATAGTGTCATGATCAGATGAAACATAACAGTATGTGTCCTGGTCATGGTTAAGATTGTCTTTTATGCTTCCGATTCTTCTGGGTGCCGTCTGCTGGTGGCCCTCTCATGTGCTAATGGAAACATGGGCATGCTGGTGTCTTCTAGGTCCTCTCCAAAAACAAAGCCCAGGTTAGGCACAGTGTCTCACGTCTGTAATCCCAGCATTTTCGGAGGACGAGGTGGGAGGATCACTTCAGCCCTGGAGTTCAAGACCAGTGTGGGCAACACAGTGAGATCCTGTCTGTACAAATAATAATAATAATGATGATAATAATAATAATAATAATAATAAAATAAGCCAGGCGTGGTGACATGCACCTGTAGTCCTAGTTGGGAGGCTGAGGTAGGAGAATTGCTTGAGCCCAGGAGGTTGAGGCTGCATGAGCCATGATTGTACCATTGCACTTCAGCCTAGTGGATAGAGTAAGAACCTGTTCCCAAACACCCCAAACAAACAAAATCCCAAAACCCTTAGTTCCACATCTTGCATCATTTCCCCCACCTCTTCTTTAGGAGCAAACCTTTCATTATCCATGCATATCTCTCCAAACTGTATTTATATTTGTGCTGAGATGTTGAATGCACAAGACGTACCTCAGTATCTTTTGTTCCCTACTTTCATCTCTACCCCTCCCTCTTCCTTGATCTCTCATTGCTGTGTTTTCTTCCACTGATCAACACCTTTGTAAGGAGAAGGCACCTTGGGCAAGCTACCACAAGCAAGTAATTAGGAATACCTCATTTGGGGCTTTTTAAAAGGGCTTTTTCCCAGTAGGTTTGGGATGCAGTCTGCAAGTTTATTGTTGATTCCCAGGCTTTTAATGATAGTTCCAGGTTACTGAATTGGGTGTGATCTCTGAAGATCTATGTGTTGTTGGTTAGTAGGTTAGGGCTGCCATAACAAAGTAGCATAGATTGGGTGGATTAAACAACATTGATTTATTTTTTTACCATTCTTAAAGCTAGAATTTTGAGAAGAATATGTTAGCAGGGCTGGTGCCTCTTGAGGCACCTTGGCTTGTAGATGCCATCTTCTCCCTGTGTCCTTACATGGTTGTCCTTCTGTGTGTGTCTGTGTCCTCATCCTCTCCTCTTAGAAGGACTCCAGTCCTGTTGGGCTGGGGCGCATTCTACCACCACATTTTATCTTAATCACCTCTTTACATGCCCTGTCTCCAAATACAGTCATATTCTGAGGTCTTGAGAGTCTGGTCTTCTACATATGGATATTGGGAGGATGCAGTTCAGTCCATAGCGCACTGTTAGCTGGTGTATTACAAGATGTTGATATTTACTCTCCATTTATTCCATGACAATGAGACCTTTACCCATTTCCCAGGATACACATATCTTAACATCTGCTGTTGTCTAAATGCATCCCTCAAATTCATATGTTGAGACAGTAACCCCCAAAGCTATGGAATTAAAAGATGGAGCATTGGGGGAAGCAATTAAATTGTGAGGGTGAAGCCGTTGAACAGGACCAGTGCCCTTGGTGAAGGGGCCTGAGGGAGCCTGTTTCTCCTTGGTCTGTGGGAGGACAGTGTGAGAAGGGCCCTTCCCTCAGGAATGGGCCCTTACCATGCAGTTCATTAGTGGGAAGTCCAGAGACTTCCAGCCTCTGGAACTGAGAATAGTACATTTTTCTTGTTTGTAAGACCCTCTAGTATATGGTATTTTTGTGATAGCAGCCAGAATGGACTAAGACAACATCTATGTAACATCTATGGAACTTGTACTTTAATATCCATCTACATGCTTATCCCAATATCTGATTATACACCTCTTAACATCTACACACGTCTTAGCATCTTACCTATACTGATGAATTATACCTGTCTATATGTAGACCTCAGCACCTGTCTATACCCAGAGTCACATCTACACACACACGTATCCTAACATCTGTCTGTATGCACACCTTAGCATCTGTCTATCACATATATTAGCATCTATGGACCTTGAGAACTTGTCTGGAGGTTCTAGCAGGGGAATGCAGCTATTCGTATACCCTTGACTGAAGACCAGTCCTCCTCTATTGGGGTTGGTCATCCTCTTTGACCGAACACGCAGCTTTGGGAGGGACGCATATGGAGCGGTGAGGAGGAAGGGGACAACTGCCTAGCCAGTCAGATCAGCTGAATCAACCCTGGTGATCAATGGCAGGCAGATGTTGCAGCCAGATTGCCCTCACATCCATATATTAGCATCTGTCTACATCCATATCCTAATATGTGTCTACACTCACAGAGCAACACCAGTCTACATCCATCTACACCCATATCCTAACATCTCTTTATACTTCTATGTTAATATCTATCTACATTCATATTCTAACATCGGTCTTTATGTGTATATTAACGTATGTCTACACCTATATCCTAGCATCCATATTATAACATTGTTCTCTACCTATGTGTTAACATCTCTCTTCACCCATATTCTAACATTTATATCTATCCATATTTTTTGTAATGCCTGTCTACATCTATATCTTAACATCTATCTCTACCTATATATTAACATCTGTCTACACCTATATTCTAACATTTATCTATATCTGTATTCTAATATTTGTCTACATCCATATATAACGTCTGTCTACAGCCATGTCCTAACACCTACAGCCATATATTAACATCTGTCTAAACCCATATCCTAACATCCATCTACACCCATATAGTAATGTAGTAGCATCCATCTATACCCATATCCTAACATCTCTTTGTACCTACATATTAACCCCTTCTGCACTTGTATCGTAACATTTATCTATATCCGTGTTGTAGTATCTGTCTGCACCCATATATTAATCTGTCTACACCTATATCCTAACACCTATCTATAACTACATGTTAACATCCATATATATCTGTATACTAACATATATCTATATCCACATTCTATACCATATTATAACACTGTGTAAACCCATATATTAGCCCCCATCTGCACCCGTATACTAACCTCTGTCTCTCAGCAGATTGTAACATTTATATGTACATGCATTCTAACACCTATCTATACCCATATATTAATATCTGTCTTTACCCATGTGCTCATACCTATGTGCTCCATGTCCCAATATCTGTACCTAGCTATTACTGTGTGTCTGTCCACACATTTTGTCATCTAGCTGAGTCTCTACCCCAACATCTAGCATACGGCATATCCCTTTCCCTCCTGTGGCGGGGCCCTGAGCGTGTGCTGATGCCTAGCTGATGGTGTACCCCTGCCCTGCCTTGGCGGGGCCCTGTGTCTGTGCTGACACCTAGCTGACAGCATAACCCCTGCCCTGCCCTGGCAGGGCCCTGAGTGTGTACTGACACCTAGGTCATGGCATATCCCCTCCCCTCCTGTGGCGGGGCTGTGAGCATGTGCTGACACCTAGCTGACGGTGTACCCCCTGCCCTGCCCTGGGAGGGCCCTGAGCGTGTGCTGACACCTAGCTGACGGCGTACCCCCTGCCCTGCCCTGGCGGGGCCCTGAGCGTATGCTGTCCCTGCAGGTTCTGGACGTGGCATGAGGAGCGCTTCCTCTACATGCTCATGGAGTATGTGCCGGGTGGCGAGCTCTTCAGCTACCTGCGCAACCGGGGGCACTTCTCCAGCACCACGGGGCTCTTCTACTCTGCGGAGATCATCTGTGCCATTGAGTACCTGCACTCCAAGGAGATCGTCTACAGGGATTTGAAGCCGGAGAACATCCTGCTGGATAGGGATGGTCACATCAAGCTCACGGACTTTGGGTTTGCCAAGAAGCTGGTAGACAGGTAAGAGGAACGTGAACTCCGATGGAATCTACACTGCTTGGCAATGAGAAAGGTGGTGGTAGTTGTGGCAGGTCAGGCAGGGAAAGATTGGGAACCAGAGTTTAACTCTCATGTGTGGGAGACACTTGCAATCAGGGATGAGAGAGCCAGGTTGACCCACAGCTCATTTTAGGTGGGCTGCGATTGCTGGCAACTTCAATGGAAGTGGAGGGTATTATCGTTAAGTGAAGTAACTCAGAAATGGAAAACCAAATAGGATGTGTTGTCACTTATAGGTGGGAGGTAAGCTATGGGTGTGCAGGGCATACAGAGGAGTGTAACAGACACTGGAGACTCAGAAGTGGGGAGGGTGGGAGGAGCCAGTTACAGAGGTAATTTCCTGATTACAGATTCAGGAGGCAATTGTATCTGTGTGGTTTTTTTTTTTTTTTTTAAACAGACAGTCTGGGAACCCTCAGTGTTAAAATTATTCTTACATTTCCCCTGACAAAAATGACGACAACTATCTATACTCTCCTACTCCGAAGTTTCCATTAATTACTGTTTTACTGCCTCAAAATGATACCTTGAGGGATGAGGTGTGGAGTTTTGGTGAAGTGTTGAAATTGGCAGGAAAAACCTGTTACTGCCAAATTTGGTGACAGTGACTTCATTTTACTGTGTCAGAATAATGACATGAAGAGTGAATTTGAGTAAGGTATGTAAACTACCATGAAAGACCGAAGACAGATGTAGTGAGAAATGAGATGTGACCAAAAGCAAGACAGGTTGGGCGTGATGATTCCAGCATTTTGGGAGGCCAAGGCAGGAGGATCGCTTGATCCCAGGAGTTCAAGACCAGCTTGGGTAACATAGCAAGACTCCCTCTCTACAAAAAATGAGCCAGATACAACTATAGTCCTAGCTATTTGGGAGGCTGAGGTGGCAGGATAATTTGAGCCTCGCAGGTTGAGGCTGTGGTGAGCTGTGATTGCACCACTGCTCTCCAGCCTGGGTGACAGAGTGAGGCTCCGTCTCAAAAAAAAAAAAAAAAAGCAAGATGTGTTCCTGTCAAGATTTTGACACCATCCTCATTAATTAAAGAGGTTGATAAAAGCAAAAAAAAAAAAAAAAGAGAAATGTTATTTTTATTATATATAATTTTACATTATTTTTCCTGCTATATTATGAAATAAAAAGCTTTTTATACTTTTCTATGACAACCACGAGGGGAAAAAAATGGACTTTGTGTATATTGTAAGCTTACCAGTCAGAAATTGCCACATTGTAGCCGTGTGTTTGTGTGTGTGTCTGTGTGTGTGTGTGTGTGTGTGTGTGTGTGTGTGACTATACCTTATTTTTGTTTTCTTGGAATCAGTTTTTTATTTTGAAACTGAGTCTCGTTGTGTTGCCTAGGCTGAAGTTCAGTGCAGTGAGCTCACTGCAACTTCCCCCTGGGGCGTTTAGGTGATTCTCCTGCCTCAGTCTCCTGAGTATCTGGGATTACAGGCGCCCGCAACCGCGCCGGGCTAATTTTTGTATTTTTAGTAGCGATGTGGTTTCTCCATGTTGGCCAAGCTGCTCTTGAAGTCCTGACCTCAGGTTATCTGCCCACCTTGGTCACCCAAAGTGCTAGGATTACAGGCGTGTAAACATGCTGCAGGCATCCTCAGTATTAGGTCTGTTTTGCAGTTACCCAACACAATTTTTCAGGGTACCTCCTCTTTATATCTGAACAAGTTGTTTGTAATTCTGAACATTTACATCCTTCCAAAGACGCTGTGGTTGGAAAATTGATCTCAACTCTGAACTGTGCTATTATACTATACTGCAGTGAAATACTATATACTTAGTTTCTTTTTTTTTTTTTTTTCCAAGACAGGGTCTCATCCTGTCACCCAAGCTGAAGTGCCGTTGCACAATCTTGTCTCACTACAGCCTCAAACTCCTCGGCTCAAGTGATCCTCCCTCCTCAGCCTCTGAAGTAGCTGGGACTACAGGCATGTGCCACCATACCAGGCTAATTTTTTTATTTTTAATTTTAGAGATGTGATCTCACTTTATTGCTCAGGCTGGTCTTGAACTCTTGGCCCCAAGATATCGTCCCACCTCAGCTTCCCAAAGCACTGGAATTAGAAGCATGTGCCACTGTGCCTGGCCAATTCTATTTTTGAATTTAACATTTTTAGCACCAGACAGTTGTTAAATCAGTATCATTTTATTATTTGTTTATTTATTTAGATGGAGTCTCACTCTGTCGCCCAGGCTGGAGTGCAGTGGTGCGATTTCAGCTCACTGCAACCTCTGCCTCCCAGGTTCAAGCGATTCTTCTGCCTCTCAGCCTCCTGAGTTGCTGGGATGATAGGTGCGTGCCACCATGCCCGGCTAATTTTTATGTATTTTTAGTAGAGACGGGGTTTCACCATGTTGGTGAGGCTGTTCTCAAATTCCTGACCTCGTGATCTGCCCTCCTCGGCCTGGGATTACAGACATGAGCTGCTGCACCTGGCCAAGAATTATTTTATAAAATCTAATCTTACATAGTTTATGAGGTAAAGGGCCTTTTGGCTTAATTCGCCTCAATGGTCCAGAATGCTATGCCAAACTGGGACAATTGTTTAATTGTATAGTGTTCAGCATATGGGAGGTATTGTCCTTGCAAAGCCACTGTGGTGCCTTGTGTGTCTGTTTTGGTGCTGGGCTCTCTAGAGAGTGTATTGTCTATATAATGAACATGCACTGTTTAATATGTAGGAGAAAAGAACTGTTAATATTTTAAATCCCACCCAGTTAAGCCAAGAACAATACTGTTTACACAAAGGGCTTCACTTGGCCTTAAAGGTGTGTTTTGAGGGCAAGTCTAGATGTTTTTATTATTATTGTTTTTTAAATTTTCCTCTTTTTTGAGACACAATCTTGCTCTGTCGCCAGGCTGGAGTGCAGTTCTGTGATCTCAGCTCACTGCAACCTCTGCCTCCTGGGTTCACATCATTCTCCTGCCTCAGCCACCCGAGTAGCCGGGACTACAGGCGTGAGCCACCACGCCTGGCTAATTTTTGTATTTTTAGTAGAGACGGGGTTTCACCATGTTGGCCAGGCTGGTCTCGAACTCATCTGAGGTGACCCGCTGGCTTTCCTTCCAAAGTGCTGTGATTACAGACTTGAGCCACCACTGTGCCTGGCCTATTTTGGCCTATTTTTTCTTTTTTCTTTTTTTTTTTTGCAGAAGGAGTCTCGCTGTCTTGCCCAGGCTGGAGTGCAGTCGCATGATCTCAGCTCACTGCAAGCTCTGCCTGCCAGGTTCACACCATTCTCCTGCCTCAGCCTCCTGAGTAGCTGGGACTACAGGTGCCCGCCACCATGCCTGGCTAATTTTTTGTATTTTTTTTTTTTTTTTTTTAAGTAGAAGTGAGGTTTCATCGTGTTAGCCAGGATGGTCTCAATCTCCTGACCTCGTGATCTGCCCACCTCAGCCTCCCAAAATGCTGACATTACAACCGTGAGCCATTGCCTATTTTTTAATTTTCTAAAAACTGGAAACAGGTTCTCACTATGCTGTTTCCCAGTCTGGTCTTGAACTTTTGGGCTCAAGGAATCCCCCCTGACTCCTCAGCTTCTGTAAGTGCTGAGATTACAGGCTTGAGTCACTGGGCCCAGCCTAGACTTTTAGTCCAAAGAAGATAATAGGGGGAGGGATATGTCTGTAGGTGAATGAGTGGATCTTTCCCTTCTCTATCCTGGCATTTTCTCTCCTTCATCTCATCGATTAAAATTCTGGTCTGTGTATGTGTTTTGTTTTTGAGTTATTTTGTGTTGGTTCATTTGTTTCTGTTTCTTTTTTGTCAGTACCCCTATTGAAACACAAATTCTCTTTTCTCTGTCCTGTGTGCCCACCATATTGCCTGGTAGGATGACGTGTTAGAGATGCCCACACAGACCTGGGGAGAGATTGGGCTGTGTTCTTTCTAACACCGCCACAGCACTGATAATAACATGCAGTCACAACCACTCCATTTACAAAGACAAAGAGGGGTGTTTTCTGCCTCCAGACAGTTTTAGTAATGTATGCTCCTAAAATTTTTCTTTATCTAGGGCAACACTGTCCAGTAGAAGTCCAACGCAAATCCCATCTGTTATTTTAAATTTTCTAGTGTAGTCATGTGTTAAAATATAAAACAAACAGGTGGAGAAAATTTTCATAATGTAGTTTATTTCAGTAATTCAGTACATCCACAATATTTTCATTTCAACATACGATTCATACAAAAATTGAGATATTTTACATGAATTTTTCCTGCTCAGTTTTTGAAATCCCATGTTTATTTTACACACACAGTTCATTTATATCAGGGTGCCGATTCTCATCAGAAATAATAATGGATCTGGTCGGGCATGGTGGCTCACACCTGTAATCCCAGCACTATGGGATGCTGAGGTGGGAGGATCGCTTGAGCCTAAGGAGTTCAAAATCAGCCTGGACGACATAGTGAGACACCCCATCTAAAGAGAGAGAGAGAATGGGTCCTCCCTCCCCTCCCTTTCGAGAAAAGCCTGACAAATTTATTTGATCATAGTTTTACATGATGCATCATGTAAAACCAGAATGAACACCCAAAGATACCAAAATCAAAAAAAAAACCTGTCTATTTTTATGCTTAGGTTCTGTGAAGCAGGGACAGCCATGTAGAAATGTGATTGGAAAAAAGTGTATGAGCTGATGGGAATAGACTGAGTGGGGAAATCCAGTCAGGCCTGACTGCTCAGAGTCTTCTTTTTTAAAAAATTTATTTATAAAGAAAATAAGTGTGTTTCTTACAGTTTTGGAGGCTGAGAAGTCCAAGGTCAAAGGGCTGCAGCTGGTGAGGGTCTTGTTGCTATGCTGTAATGTGGCCGAAGCCAGGACATGGGCAGAAAGAGGAAAGGTGTCAGTTCAGGTCTCTCTTCCTCTTCTTATAAAGCCAGCAGTCCCATTCCCGTCATGAAAGTCCCACCTTTTTTTTTTTTTTTTTCTGATTTTATTTTAATTCAATACCTTTTGGGGAACAATTTTTTTTTGTTTTCTTTGTTGCATGGAAAAGTTCTTTAGTGGTGATTTCTGAGATTTTGTTGTACTTGCCATCCAAACAGTATACACTGTATCCAATGTGTAGTCCTTTTTTTTTTTTTTTTTTTTTTTTGAGACAGAGTTTTTCTCTGTTACCTGAGGCTGGAATGCAATGGTGCCATCTTGGCTCACTGCAACCTCTGCTTCCCCGGGTTCAAGCAGTTCTCCTGCCTCAGCCTCCTTAGTAGCTGGGAATACAGGCCCACACCACCATGCCCAGCTTATTTTGTATTTTTAGTAGAGATGGGTTTTCACCATGTTGACCAGGCTGGTTTTGTAATCCTGACCTCCAGTAACCCACCCTCCTTGGCCTTCCAAAGTGCTGGGATTATACGCGTGAGCCACCATGCCTGGCCGTAAATTCTTCTTTTGTTATTTTATTTGGAAGTCTAATTCAACAAACCAGAGATAAAATCTTGCATATATTCACTTGTTTATAAATTTGACAAACCGTGTTACTGTCCAGTTAATTCATGATGTCTATTTAAGATTAAATGGATGAAATGGTTTACTATATAACGTGCACCAATTATTTTACTTAATGAACATGCGAAAATCTTAGAAAATGCTTCATTACCATCTTGATATATTGCTTTCTCTTTTTTTGTTTTTGTTTTTGAGACAGAGTCTTGCTCTGTCACCCAGGCTGGAGTACAGTAGTGCAATCTCAGCTCGCTGCAAGCTCTGCCTCCTGGATTCAAGCAATTCTTCCGCCCCAGACTCCCAAGTAGCTGGGATTACAGGTACCCACCACCATGCTTGAATAATTTTTGTATTTTTGGTAGAGACGGGGTTTCACCATGTTGGCCAGGCTGGTCTTGAACTCCTGACCTCAGGTGACCCACCCATCTCTGCCTCCCAAAGTGCTGGGATTACAGGCATGAGCCACTGATAGGTTGCTTTTACAAAGAACTGCATCTTTCTCTGTATGGGTAGTGTAGCTTCTGTAACTTTTTTGTGTGTGGGCTTTTTCTCCTTTTTTTTTTTTTTTTGACCTTCTTTCTAACAAAACATTTCTCTTCTGGCCTGGCCCCAAGGAAGTTGTGTTCATGGGCAGATAGATGGCCCTGCCCCTGGTTCAGGATTCAAACAGTACATGTACTTTTTGAATAAAACTTAAAAGAAATTTACCAGTGTACTGTGGACCACTACAGAATAGATGGAAGTAAACAGGGAGGCTTCATCATGAATGACTTTTTTTATTTTTGAGATGGAGTTTTACTCTGTTGCCCAGACTGGAGTGCAGTGGTGCAATCTTGGCTCACTGCAACCTCTGCCTCCGGGGTTCAAGTGATTCTCCTGCCTCAGCCTCCTGAGCAGCTGGGATTACAGACACGCGCCACCACAGCCAGCTAATTTTTGTGTTTTTAGTAGATTTGGGGTTTCACTATGTTGGTGAGGCTGATCTCAAACTCCTCACCTCATGATCTGCCCCCTCAGCCTCCCAAAGTGGTGGGATTACAAGTGTGAGCCAATGCGCCTGGCCTTTATTTTTTATGTTTTATTATTATTATTATTATTATTTTATTTTTTTTTTTTTTTGAGACAGGGCCTTATTCTGTCACCAAGGCTGAAGTACAGTGGTGGGATCTCAGCTCACTGCACCCTCAGCGTCCTGGGCTTCAGCAGTCCTCCCTTCTCAGCCTCCCAAGTAGCTGAGATTATAGGCATGTACCACCACAGCTGGCTAATTTTTGTATTTTTAGTAAAGACCTGGTTTCATCACGTTGCCCACGCTGGTCTTGAACTCCGGATCTCATGTAATCTGCCCACCTCGACCTTCCAAAGTGTTGGGATTACAGGTGTGAGCCAACGCACCAGGTCTTGAATAACATTTTTGAACGTTTCCCAGAAAGGTAACGTTTTCATTTTTCTCTTATAGCATGGGGTAAAAACACATTTAAGCATGTTGTGATTAAGTTTTCTACTCACTACATGAATCTCTGTCTTTCTTTTTTGTTTCTTTATTGAGACAGGGTCTTGCTCTGTCACCCAGGCTAGAGTGCAGTGGTGAGACCATGGCTCACCGCAGCCTGGAACTCCCAGGTTCAAGCAGTTCTCCTGTGTCAGCCCCCCAAGTAGCTGGGACTACAAGCCTGTACCACCGTGCCTGGCTAATTTTTTAATTTTTTATGGAGATGGGGTTTCACTATGTTGCCAGGGCTGGTCTCTAACTCCTAAGCTGAAGCAGTCCTCCCGCCTTGGCCTCCCAAAGTTTTGCGATGACAGGTGGGAGGCGCAGTGCCCCTCCCCTCCCCTCTCTTCCACCCCTCCCCTCCCTTCCACCCCTCCCCTCCCCTCCCTGCCCATCTCCTCTACTCCCCTTCCCCCTGTTCCTTTTTTTTTTTATTTCTTTTCTCTCTTCTCTTTTCCTCTACTCTCCCTCTTCCTCTCTTTTCTTTCTTTATCCTGTTAACTGAATGACTCGTATAATACTTATTTTAAACCACTGCTCATGGTGACTTGGTATTTGGCTTTCCTAGGTTGTCAATATGTTGAGATGGTTTTCTTTTTCTTTTGTGGCTTGCTTTCGTCAGGCTCTTGTTTTCTAACAGCAGTATTTCTTATGTTTGTATTTTAAATATTTTGTACACACACTTTATTATATATTATCTGGATAGCTCCCCTAAAAGACTTGATGGCAAACTAGAATTATTTCTGGTTTTATGAAATGGTCAAAATAAAATACTGATGCATTTAATATGATTTTCTAAGTCAAATGCATAACACAAGCATCCCTTATTTGAAATACTTGAGACCAGAATTGTTTTGGGTTTTGGGTTTTTTCAGATTTTGGAATATTTGAATTACCTTTACCTGTGAGCATCCCTAATTCGAAAATTTGAAATCCAGTGCTCCAGTGAGCATTTCCTTTGAGCTGTGAGCATCATGTCAGTGCTGGAAAAGTATTGACTTTTGGAGCATTTCAGATTTCAGATTTGGATTAAAGATGCTCAACTTGTATACACCTGTCTTTAAACTATAACAGATGATTTCTTTCTCTCCAACAGTTCTTTTTTGTTTGTTTGTTTTTGGTGTTTTTTATTTCTCTACAACAATTTTTTGTTTTTTTTGTGTGTGTTTTTGTGTTTCTTTTGAGACAGGGTTTCACTGTATTGACCAGGATAGTCTTGAACTCCTGGCCTCAAGTGATCCTCCCACCTTGGCTTCCCAAAGTGCCAGGATGGTATCCGTGAGCCACTGCATTGGGTGCAACAGCTCTTTCCTAGTTCTTCTGTTGTAGCATTTTAAGTCCAGATGTTACATTGATTACTGTCCTCTGGGTTTTTATTTCTAGCATCTAGGGGTAATATTGAACCTAATCTTTCAAAATTTCTACTTAATCCTTTCAAACACACACAGGAATAGAGAGTAGTTCATATTGAAACCTTGTGGTCCCATCACCCAGTTTCGATTGTTATCAAAGCTTTGCCACTTTGTTGGTTTCTTTCTCTTTGCCCATTTGTTTGTTGAGTTATTTTAAAGCAGATGCACTCCATCCTATCTCTAATAGATATCTCCCTTTAAAAAAGAAATTCAATGCATTATCACATCTGACCAAACTAATTTTTTTAGGAAAAAAATCTAGCCTGGGCAACATAGCAAGACCTCATCTCTGCAAAACATCAGAAACAAAAAAATTAGCCTTCCATAGGTTAAATCCACCCTGCTGTATGTCTGTTAATAAAGTTTTATTGGAACACAGGCACATCTTGGGGGATATTTCTAACAGAGACCATGTGATCTACAAAGCCTAAAGTATTTGCCATCTGGCTCCTTAGAGAGAATATTTGCCCACTCCTGAGCCAGGAACTTTAAATTGACCAGGAACTTTTTGCAGTGGAGTATTATTTGACCATGAAAAGGAATATAGTTCTGACACATTCTACTCCACATTGGTAAACCTTCAAAACATGATGTGGGATGAAATAAGCTAGACAAAAAAGGGGCCCTAGATTCTTCTAAGTCATAGGGACAGAAGGTAGATGGTGGGTGCCAGGGGCTGGGGAGGTGCAGGGAAGGGGGAGATACTGTTTAATGAGGAGGGAGTTTCTGTTTGGAATGATGAAGTTCCACCAATGGATGGTAGAGAGGGTTGCACAACAAGGTTGATAGGCTTCCCGCCACTGAACCATACACTTAAAAATGATTAAAATGGAAAATTTTATGATAGATGTATTTTACCAAATAACTGTATACATAATTGTAATATTTAATTAGACATAAATAATATATCCTGTATTAAATTTATATATTTAAATATATTTATCTCTTTAATATGTTAAATATTTAAATATATTCATATGTAAATTTAATATATAAATATATTAATGTAATGTGTTAATTAAGATAACATAATGTATTAATATAATATATTCCGATTATATTTGAAACAAATACAATGTAATTTTTAAACATAATTATATTTTAAAAATATATATTTAATATAATTATATAATAAACTGATACTTTATATTTAATTAAATGTTACATATGTAATTAAACTACTAAATACTTTTATATGCTCATAAATTGTGATATAAATATATATTTAGAAAGTTATATGTAGCTATAATTATACAGTATCCATAGTTTTCTATATATAATTTTATAAATGTATATTTATAATTTTTTAAATTTAAATTTATATATTAGTATGTGTTACACATTTATTGTTTAGATTATATGTTCAAATTTAAATGTATACATTTATAAATACATAATTATTTTATATATATTTCATAACATCAGAAAAGTCTTTCTACTTACTTTGGACGTTTTCCCTTAGCTTCTTACTTTTGAGTATTTAATGGAAGCCAAGGAGGGCCTGAGATGTCGAGTCTGTTTGCAGTCAGTGTTGTTACTTTCCCTTCAGCCCTGTTTAATTTTGCTATAATTCATACTAGGAGGTGGGTATTACTGTGCCGAGGTTGGTGACAGGCACCCTTCTCCCTGCTGGTCAGTGGTGTTTCGGAACCATAGTCGCCTAGGAAACCCCTCCCAGGGCCTGGGCTGGCCATCGGAAGCTGTCCCATGCTTGCGGACATGTACCTTCTCCCTTGACAGTCCTGAAATTCTCAACTGTTTGTTCCCATCAGACAGTTCTAGGAACTGTGATTGTGTCCCTGTAGAAAAACAACGATGAAAAACTTTCCTTTTTCTGAGAAACCCCCACACCCTGCTTCTTGATTGTAACCCAAGATCCTATAAGAAAAGGCGTGTAGTATTTTCATCATGAGTACTGAGCTAACATCTATTTCCTGCATTACCAAATGTAGAGAAAACACTCTCATACTTTTCTGATAAAAAGGAAAAAAATCCATTCGTTTCTGTAATCAAGAGTAAAAGCTGTCATCAGCTGTCCATATTCTTCATGAGCCCCACTGTGCCCCTGTTAGCTGAGTGACATGCTTACCATGTCGTAAAGCCATGAGGAGAGACAGAAAGTGAGGCTGGTGACGCCACCTGCTAGGACGTAAGAGGGACTGGACTGAAACTGAACTGGGAGATGTCATCCATTTCTCTCTCTTTTTCTCTTTTTATTGTGGTAAAATACCCTTAAAATGTACCATAGTAACCATCTTTATTTATTTACATTTTTATATTTTTTGAAACAGGGTCTTGCTCTGTCAGCCAGGCTGGAATGCAGTGGTGCAATCATGGCTCACTGCAGCCTCCAACTCCTGGGCTGAAACAATCCTGTTGCCTCAGCCTCCTGAGTACCTGGGACTAGAGGTGTGAGCCACTATGCCTGGCTAATTTTTAAATATTTTTGTACAGACAGGGTCTTGCTATGTTGCCTAGGCTGGTCTGGAACTCTGAGGCTCAAGTTATCCTACCTTGGCCTTCCAAAGCATTGAGATTATAGGCATGAGCCATTGTACCCAGCCCATTTGAACCATCTTAAGTTGCACAATCTCATGGCATTTATTGCATTTACCATGTTGTACAACCATCACCTCTGTCTAGTTCCAGAACATTTTCATGATCCCAAAAGAGAACTTGTATCTGTTAAGCAATTATTCCCCATCCTAAGCCAGGATGATCTCATCTTAACTTGATTGCAGCTACGAAGATCCTGTTTGCACATAAGGTCCCACTCACAAATACTGGGGTTTAGGACTTTGGGGAGTGCACAGTTCAGCCAGTGCAGGTGTGACGGAAGGCATGGGCATTAAGAACACAGGAGTCATTGGATATCTATACTTCATAGATAATCCTATCCTTAGCTCTGTTTCTCCTTCGTTAACATGGCCTCCTCCTTCCCCTCCCGCCGGCCATAGTGAAACTAAGAACAGTGAGAAAACTGAGAACAGCAGGTGTCACCTTCCTTCTACCCAAAAGCCAGGTGAGCAAAAGGAGATAGGAGCAGGGAAGTGGATAATTCACTGCCCCGACCAGTGGTCTCCACATAGCACTCAGGCTGTCTCATCTCATATTCATTCACGCAGTCAGCATCTCTCCATAGCAGCGCATGTCTCTCTGTACTTTCAGCTAGGCATTGGGGCTTTTTGCAGGAAGGATTGATTCTAACAGGGCAGGAGTCCTCCTGAGGCAAGTTAGAACCTGGATACTTATACAACCTTAGGTGTGTGTCCTTACCCTAACATGGAGCCAAAAAGAGCCTCATCTTTTTAAAGGTAAGTGGAAGTTGCAACTAAATGCCTATAGGGTGACTTGCGGCCACTTCTACTTTGGGTTCATATCAGCTAAGTTCTATGCTTTTAGCTACTTTCAGGCCATTTTGGATGGGCTAGCAAGGTGAAAATACAAAATTAGTAGGCCAATAAGTCAGTCGTCTTGCAGAGTAACAGAAATGTTATGCATTGAATCAACTAGGGTGTACTTGGAGTTGATTCCGCTGGGAGGGGCAGGGGAGAGGATGTTTCTAAAATAATGTGCATTGTACTTTCCTTTTGTAGACTTAAGTCTAATGAATGAGAAGCACTTAATAGGACCACAAGGGGATCCTTGTTCCATGCTTAGATCTAGCATGCAGATAAAGTAAGCCCCTTCCCACATTCCTCCATGGGAAGGTAACTTAATTTCTCTCCTTGTCTTGTTTCTTTCTTTCCTGACTTGTATCTCCCAGAGCCTGCAGTACTTTTTTTCTTTTCCTTTTTTTTCCCTTGAGACAGGGTCTTGCTCTCTTATCCAGGCTGTAGTGCAGTAGTACTATCATGCTCCCTGTAGCCTTGAACTCCTGGGCTCAAGTGATCCTCCCATCTCAACTAGCTGACACTACAAACACCTGTTAGCATGCCTGGCTTTTTTTTTTGAAATGGCATTTCGCTCTTGTCACCCAGGCTGGAGTGCAGTGGTGCAATTTTGGCTCCCTGCAACCCCCACCTCCTGGGTTCAAGTGATTCTCCTGCCTCACCCTCCCAAGTAGTTGAGATTACAGGCGCTCACCACCATGCCTTGCTAATTTTTGTATTTTTAGTAGAGACAGCGTTTCACCATGTTGGCCAGGCTGGTCTCAAACTCCTGACCTCAGGTGATCTACCTGCCTCTGCCCCCCCAAGTGCTGGGATGACAGGCATGACACCGTTCTTGGTCTTTTTTTTGGTAAAGAAGAGGTCTTGCTATGTTGTCCAAGCTAGTCTGAGGCTCCTAGCCTCAAGCAATCCTCTTGCCTTAGCCTCCCAAAGTATTGAGATTACAGGTGTGAATCACCATGCTTGGCCTTGTGGTACTTTTATTTCATGGATGGCCGACAGAATTTGAAATTTGGATGGCAGCCAGTTTGTTGTTATCCCAAGGGCTTACAGATTAATGTGGAAAAGTCTCTTGTCGGAAAAGAGGTGGGTATGGAGATGTGGTGGAGAAGCGAAGGAAAGATAACAGTAACAACAATTTGGGTGGGTTCCTGCAAGCAGGAAGGTGAGGAGCTGAAGCCAAGATACGTGCCCACACCACCGCAAACAGGGCAGACTCAGGTAAGATGTGCTGGGAATAAAATAGGCTTTGCATATGCTTGAAACATTGTGCAAAGAACTCGAGAGTGGATAAACATGTACATTACCAGGCTCTATGGAACTTGCTTTTTGTTCTCTTTACATTCAAAAAAATATGTAAGTATATATTTTTTAAAATGTAAAAAAAAAAATTACATATGTATAAATATATTATAAAAAAGAAGGGCCTTTGCAAAGCATGTATATTTTTTTCCCCTCCAAGGGTGTTGCTTCTTTCTGCCTGTCTACAGACGGGCCCCACACACCAGGCTAGGAAGCATGTGTCAGGAAGGGTGGATGTGGCCTGCAGGTGTGCTATGGGTCTGAATTGCTGAAAGCCCGAAGCGACATTCTACCCAGCAGTAGAGTGCCAATGGAGTATGGCCTAGACACAGCCCCCTCTTTGAGGTTACTGATACTCAGCTCCTTTCCAGCCCATGAGTCTTCCAGCTTCTGCTACAGTCATTGTTACATTGCCCTGACTTTGTTTAGCAGTTGCTTCTGTAACCAAAACACAGGTTCAGCCCCTTGCCATTTGCAGAGTGCAATTAGCAAGAGCAAGGTCTAGTGTAAAGAAAGTGAGTTTTTATTCCAGAGCTTTCTTAGGGTAAGAAGTACTGGCTTCCTGCTTGAGGCCACCCCTTTGTTTTCGGAGCACAAAGCAGGCACTTTTAAAATGGCATGCAGGGGAGGAAGTGTATTTCCGTCTTTACACTGGTTTCCGGGGGCAAGAAATGTTTTTTTTTTTGCAGAGGGTAGAGAGTGAAAGAACACATACATAAGCTCTGCTGACCATCCAGTCTCAATTACAAGTAAGGACTCTGCTCTTGCACTTTTTTTGGGGGTGGGGAGAGTCTCACTGTGTCGCTCAGGCTGGAGTGCAGTGGTGTGATCTTGGCTTACTGCAACGTCTGCCTCCCAGGTTCAACTGATTCTCCTGCCTCAGCCTCCCAAGTAGGTGGGATTACAGACATGCATCACCACACCCAGCTAATTTTGTATGTTTAGTAGAGATGAGGTTTCGCTATATTGGCCAGGCTGGTGTTGAACGCCTGGTGATCCACCTGCCTTGGCCTGCCAAAGTGCTGGGACTACAGGCATGAGCTACTGAGCTGGCCTAACTGAGTTCTTGAATTATTCTTTTCAGTGACACTTTTTTGTTTGTTTGTTTGAAGGATAAAGGATTTTTTAAAATTTAATTTTATTTACTTATTCATATATTTACTTTAAGAACTTTCGTTTTAGGTTCAGAGGTACATGTGCAGGTTTGTTATATGGGTAAACTGCATGCCACTTGGTTTACGAATTATTTTGCCACCCAGGTAATACACATCATACCTGACACGTAGATTTCCCATCCTCATCCTCCTCCCACCCTCCATCTTCAGGCAGGCCCAGGTATCTGTTTTTCCCCCTCTCCATGTCAGCGTATAGCCAGTGTTTAGCTCCCACATATAAGTGAGAACATGTGGTATTTGGTGCGTGATGTGAGTCCACTTAGGGGAATGGCCTCTCCACCTCCATCCATGCTGCTGCAGAGGACATGATCTCGTTGTTTTTCCTTTAATTAATTTTATTCATTATGATTTATACTAAGACAGGTAAAAATAACTCAAAAAAGTCTGAGTCTTTTTGCTTCTGAGTAACAGTGGTAACAGTACCAGCAACAGTAGCAAGGATGGTAAAACCAATTCTTAGTTTCCAAGCCCGATAAGAAATGTTTCTATGGAAAGGAATCAGTGAAAACAATGTTACTGTCTTTACACAGTAAAATATGTGCACAGACGGTAAAGGGAGCGTGGTTTTACTCAACGAAGTTATTGTAACAATCAGAGCTTCTAAGGTGACTGCATTAGCCAAGCACCACTGAGTGTTGTGGGGGCCTGTCTCTGTCGCCCATATAGGACTTGGACCCTCTGTGGAACACCCGAGTACCTAGCCCCCGAAGTCATTCAGAGCAAGGGCCACGGAAGGGCCGTGGACTGGTGGGCCCTCGGCATCCTGATATTCGAGATGCTTTCGGGGTAAGTAGAGTCTCTGTAGAGAATCTTCATCTTACAGGCCAGCACCCCCTTCCCCCACCCATTCGTCCACTCGGCATTTCTGTAACCTTGAAAACAGTACGTGAGTGTCGCAAACACACAGTGTGGCTGCACACACATCTGCTGCCCTGCTGAGGTTGGCAATGTGAATTAGCAATTGAGCTTGTGTGAATAAGAGGCAAAAAACCCAAACTTGTGAAGGAACCACCCATGCATGCCCATTGAGATTTTTATATTGAAATATCCATATCTTCTTTAAATATACAATTAACATTCTGGGCTGCTCTGAAGGTAGTGAGTTATCTCAGTTGATATTCACAGTTAGCTACCAGTTGAACTCCTTACTCTGCTTTTTCTCCCCTTATCACTTCTGTGCTTGATTAGTCTTAGAAAGAATTTAAAAATTAAATACAAAAAATAACCTTCTGCACTGACGCTTCCTGAAGCAATCTGCAGGGCTCAGGAGGGCAGAGGTTGGGTCAGTGTAAATCAGCCAAATACAATTGAGTGGTTCCTGGATGAACAGCTGGCAAGGAAGGCAAGAATGTATTCTTTCCTAAAACCCCTGACTTATGTTACCAGGAAGGAGTCCTGATCCAGACCCCAACAGAGGGTTGTAGGATCTCTTGCAAGAAAGAATTCAGGGAAAGTCCATAGATCAAGTGAAAGCAAGTTTATTAAGAACGTAATCCTGTAATCCCAGCACTTTGGGAGGCCGAAGAGGGCGGATCACAAAGTCAAGAGATTGAGATCATCCTGGCCAATGTGGTGAAACCTGTCTCTACTAAAAACACTTAGCTGGGCCTGGTTGGGTGCTCCTGTAGTGCCAGCTACTTAGCAAGCTAGGGCAGGAGAATCGCTTGAACCTGGGAGGCGGAGGTTGCAGTGAGCCAAGATGGCACCACTGCACTCCAGCCTGGTGACAGAGTGAGATTCCATCTCAAAAAAAAAAGAAAGTAAAAAGTAAAAGAATAAAAGTATGGTTACTCATTAGGCAGAGCAGCCCCAAGGGCTGCTGTTTGGCTATTTTGGTGGTTATTTCTTGACTATATGCTAAACAAGGGGTGGATTTTTCGTGAGTTTTCCGGGAAAGTGGTGGGCAATTCCTGGAGCTGAGGGTTCCTCCCCTTTTTAGAGCATACAGGGTAACATCCTGACCTTGTCATGGCATTTGTAAACTGTCATGGCCCTGGTGGGAGTGTCTTTTAGTACCTAATGCATTATAATTAATGTATAATGAGCCGTGAGGATGATCAGAGGTCACTGTTGTCGCCATCTTGGTTTTGATGACATTTGGCTGGCTTTACTGCAGCCTGTTTTATCAGCAGGGTCTTTGTGACCTGTATATTGTGCCAGCCTCCTGTCTCATCCTGTGGCTTAGAATGCCCTAACCGTCTGGGAGTGCAGCCCAGTAGGTCTCAGCCTCATTTTACCCAGCCCCTGTTCAGGATGGAGTTACTCTCGTTCCAACGCCTGTGATACCTGTGTTGGGTGAGATTTGGAAGTCAGGAGAGGTGCCATCCCCCCTGCGACCACATAACAGAGAGGTCGGTCATTTGTTGGGACGTCAGCATGATTGAGTGTTCAAGTCTAGCATATGCCTGAGACAGCTCCACTATGACTAGACCAGAAACGCAAAGGAAGCACGCAACACTTGGAAACCCAGGACGTGGGCGTCATCCTCGTTCCGTTGTTAGTGCTAAGTTGACTCAGTAGCGTGGCACTTTTCCAGATAGGAACCTGTAGGAAGGAGTGAGCTACGTGTCAGAGGAACTGTTGCACCGTGTGGCTCTGCACGAAAGACTCTTCTCTAGGATGAAGACGAGAGGAAGCCCAGCCAGCGAGGGCCCAGAACACTGGTTGGGGGATCCTCTGCCGCGCTTTGCCACAGCCGACACTCTGCCTCCTAGGTTCTCTATTTTCCTGTTTCCTTCTTTCTTCTGCTTGCCCCCGAGTCTCAAAGACAGACACCAGCATATCCTCTGACTGCCCTCTGTTGTTGCAAAAGCCAGATCTCTCTCACATCTCTCTGATTCCCTGCAGGGGTTAAAGACCAGAGATTTTTACTGGGAAAACTTCCCTTTCAGTTGGAAACAAAGGAGGGAAGGAAGAGAGGCATTCTCCTGCTGGGAAGGTGTGTCTAAGCCAGATCCTGGTGGTGGGGAGCACCCAGCTCTTGTTCCTGAGGGTGTGGAGCATGTGACATTCTAACATCCACCTCAGGAAATCCAGGCAGTCGCTGACTTTGTTTGGGGAGCAGACAGGGGTCATTGCCCCCATGTGCTTATCTCTGCCGTGTTTTATGAAAAAAGTGAATCCGTTAATTCCCACACTAGCTTAGTGATCTGAATGATGTTGAACAAGCATTATCAAAGAATTCCACGATGAGAAGCAAAGGGAGGAGAGTGGAACTTTTGAAAACCTGTATTTCATTGTCTGGCTATCCGTGTATTGTTTATCATCCATCCATCCACCCATATATCTTTTTATCTAAGTCTGTATACTTATCCATCCATCCACACACCCACCCATTCATCCATCCATCCATCTATCCATCCTTCCACCCACCCACTCCTTTTCCATCTCTATCCACCCAACCATCTATCCATCCATTTGTCTGTCCACCCATCCATCCATCCATCTATCCATCCATCCATCCATCCATCTACCCACCCACCCACCCCTGTCTATCTCTATGGTCTACCTCTTATGTATGTATATACACATCTGTTTTTCCATTTATCCTTATCTATCATCTGTCCAAGCTCTCATTTAGATATTTGTATATCCATCTCTCTGTCCATCTTTTTATCTCTATGATATTTTTATCTGTCTACCTACCTATCATCTATATATTTACCTGTCATCCGTCATTCATGTATCAGTCTATCTACTTCCTATTCATGTGTCTTTCTGTTTATCCAACTGTTAATCATTGATCTTTCTATGTAACTGTCTACCTACTTACCTATCCATCTGTGAATCATCTCTCTACCTATTCATCTGTCTGCTTTTCTATATATCTATCTACCTATTCATCTATCAATCATCTATCCACCTACCTACCTACCTATCCATCTATCTCTACCTGTCTGTCTGGCTATCAAACATCTATCTACCTACCTACCCGCTGGTCTTTTGAATTTTCCTTTACTCTTTGCTGAGACATGCCTGCAAATCACATAGAATCAAACTTCTCCATGTGCACCTGAGCCCATGACGTCCTAGGCAAACCCAAAAGGTTAAAAATAACTTAGGCAGGCTGGGCGCAGTGGCTCAAGCCTGCAGTTCCAGCACTTTGGGAGGCCCTGAGGTTGGGAGTTCGAGACCAGCCTGACCAACGTGGAGAAACCCTGTTCCTACTAAAAATACAAAATTAGCTGGGCATGGTGGCACATGTTTTTAATCCCAGCTACTCAGGAGGCAGAGGCAGGAGAATTGCTTGAACCTGGGAGGTGGAGGCTGCAGTGAGCTGAGATCCCACCTCGCCATTGCACTGTAGCCTGGGCAACGAGCGAAATTCCCGTATCAAAAACAAAACAAAACAAAACAAAAAACGCATATTGATTGGCATCCACCCAGGGAAAAGCACCACATTTTCCCTCTATGATAACACCGACCACACGAGGGCAGCATTGCCTAAGGATCATTCATTGTATGCTGGGGTCTGAAGAGTGAGGTGCATGTGCCTCAAATTTTATTGGTGATTGGATAGAATAGCCTGTTATTAGAATGCAATATACTATTAGAACATAATATTGTTACAATATAACAAAATTATTAGAATATAATTAAAACAAAATGTTAGTCTCAGGGTACGCTGAAGTTAAAATACATAAAAATAAATTTAAAAAGAAAAGAATATTACAGTCAGAACTATATTGGAATTATTATATAAAGTTATCAGAATTGTTAATGGGCTATAGTATATTAGAATATTTAAATATATTAGAATACAATAGAATGGAAAATAACCTAATTATAATATATCATTAGGCTAATTGAAAATTAATATTCCAGGTGTGGTGGCTCACACATATAGTCCCAGCACTTTGGGAGGCCGAGGCTGGCGGATCACCTGAGTTCAGGGGTTTGAGACCAGCCTGGCCAACATGGTGAAACCCCATGTGTACTAAAAATCAAAAAATACTAGCCAGGCGTGGTGGTAGAAGCCTGTAATCCCAGCTATTTGGGAAGCTGCAGCAGGAGAATCACTTGAACCTGGGAGTGGGATGTTGCAGTGAGCTGAGCTCGCGCCAGTGCACTCCAGCCTGGGCAACAGAATGACACGTGTGTCTCAATAAAAAAGAATAATTAAATAAATAAACATCTCCCAATCTAAAGCCCAGCCTGCTGTCCTGTGCATTTTATGAGACAGGGAGCTGTTGATTCAGAGTAAGCCTTTTTTTATTTTCCGTTTTCCTAATTAGAATCTATTTCTGGGTGAATTTTTTCCCCTATTTCTCAGCAACCTTGTGTCTCTTTGCACAGGTGGGTTTTGTAAGAGTGGCAAGCCTCGCCAACCCCAACTCTCCCCAGGCATTTCTGGGCTCTCCCTCCACTCTCGCTGGCCTGAGCTCTTGCCTTGACGGAGATGCAGGATACAGCTTTCTCACAGTCTCCTGCATCTCCTGCCTGCAGTACCTTTTCGTTGAAGCAGCTGCAGGTGTCTTGTCTATGTGTGTCCCTCTTCTCTTGAGAGCCCACATGTAGCTTCCTGGATGACTGAAGTAGAATTGGAGGCTCGTTATCGTGAGGTTCTGAGACAGTCTGTCTGTGGGTTGTCCACCCGCCTTAGACAACAGCCTCACCCCTCCTTGTCTTCCCACTGCTTTTTAAACATGCCAGGAAGCCTGACCTGTCCCCCTGCCTATGGGTGTCCCTGGGGCTGGCCCTTTCTCTTCCACTGCACATGTTGCGAGCTCACCTGTTACTTGCTCCCAGAGCCCTCTGGGGCTCCTCCTGTTCTCCTGGGCCATGCCCTGTCCGATCAGCCCATCTGTTTTCTTTATACTGCTTAGCAGCTCTGAAACCAACTTGATTTTGTATGTGTTGACTGCCTCTGAGAGCAATGCTCCCAAACTGCTCTCCTCACCTCCTTGAACCCGGAAACTTTTGGTGGCTGGAGGGAGGGCGCTGCTGCACACATAAGTGGAGCTGGCCTGCAGTCAGAGTCCTCCTGCTCCCTTCGCAGCCCGTGTCTGCACCTTTCCTATCGCAGCTCGATTTGCTGGATTCCCACTCTTAGCAGGATCAAGTGAGGCTGTGCCTTCTCTGTTTTATTGCTTTAACTGATTATCTCAATCTTCCACTAAGCACAGAGAAAACCATCTATGTGGTAAAATCTTTCATGTGATTAGGAAGGAGATCATATCATAATGCAGATTTTATTTTCACATAATGAGACATGTTTAGGTCAGATGAAAATTGCGTGGCACGTTCTGGAACAAAATCACTCGTGCACTTTCCAAGGCCCGAGCTCAGCTCTGATTTCTCCCATCATGTTCTCTTTTCTCATCCATTTCCATGTTTGTGTTCTCCCAGAGTGTTTAACTCAAAAGTTAGGTAAAGGCTGGACATGGTGGCTCAAATGCCTGTCATCCCAGCACTTGAGGAAGCTGAGACACAAGGATTGCTTGAGGCCAAGAGTTCAAGACCAGTCTGGGCCACATACTGAGGCCCCATTGCTACAAAAAATAAAAATAAAACTAGCTTGGTGTGGTAGTATGTGCCTGTAGTCCCAGCTCTGCAGTAGGCTGAGGTGGGAGGATTGTTTCAGCCCAGGAAGTCGAGGCTGCAGTGACCTGAGATTCCAGCAGTGCACGTCAGCTTGGGAGACAGAGCAAGACCCTGTGTCAGAAAAAGGAAAAATAAAATCAGCAAAAGCATCAAGAACAAAACACAGGGACACACAAGACATACAGCAGAGTGCAGGGTAAGAGAAAGCCCCCAGGGTGTCTTGTCTTAGTTATGACAGCAGTGATTCTCAAGTGGCATCCCAGAGGACTATGGGGTTCCTGAAGTGTGTTTCAGCAGATGAGTGAGATCATTTTTCCAACGACAGATCTGAATAGTGATGAATTTTCTTCATAGGAACAAACTAAGACAATACAACATAGCACAAAGGGTGCAGAAGATTTTAGAGAAGGTGGACTCTGTCTGCAATGGAGCCTCTTCCACGGGGAGCATTAGGCATTGTGCAGTGGGTTCTCAAACATGTTGGCCTTGGGACCCCTTCAGCACACAGCTCAAAGTTATTAACAACCCGCAGAACTTTCATTTCTGTGTGTTATAGTTGTCTACGCTGACTGCATTTGAAATTAAAGTGGGACTGAAATATAAATAAATAGAATACATAAATAATATATATGAGAAGTTAAATGATAGTCGCAGAGGTGAATATAAATAGCTTTTTTAAATGAAAAAATAAATACGTGTAACCACACTTTGTAGAACTAAGACCATTCAGGTTGGGCATGGAAGCTCACGCCTCTAATCCCAGCACTTTAGGCGGCTGAGGCAGGAGGATCACTTGAGCCAGCAGTTGGAGGCCAGTCTGGGCAACATAGCCAGACCTCATATCTACAAACAATAAAATGAAATAAATAAACAATTAGCTGGGCATGGTGATGCATGCCTATGACCCCAGTACTTTGGGAGGCTGAGGCGGGAGGATCACTGAGGCTGGGAGGTCGAGGCTGCAGTGAGCTGTGGTCTCGTCACTGCACTCCAGCCTGGGCGACAGAGAGACCCTGTCTCTAAAAAGAGAGAAAACATTCGTGAGGAGGTTGGTTGTATTTTCTGTGTTTTGTGAATCTCTTTAGTGTCTAGCTTTCACAAGGGCTGCTGGCCTCTCCTCCCTCTGTCTGCAGCCTGTCTGCTGTGCTGCGTGGTGTTTAGTTGAGGCATAGGAGAAAAGTTCATCACTATTCAAAACTGGAGTCAGAAAAACGACCTCAGCCATCCCTAAACTGAGGTCAGGAAGCCACCCTGGGACTCCACTTTGAGGGCCACTGCTGTGATGCCCAAGTCAACATGCCCGGGGCTATATTTTCACCCTCCACTCTGCCCCAACCCTCACACGCCCCAGTGCTTGCTCCTTCCACTTTATCTGGCCCTCGAGTTTCCCTTTCTCATCTGCCACCTCAGCCACACTGGTTTATCTGAGGAGCACAGATTTTATATTTATTTATTATTATTATTATTTTTTGGAGAGAGTCTCACTCTGTTGCCCAGGCTGGAGTGCAGTGCTGTGATCTTGGCTCACTGCAACCCCCATCTCCCGGGTTCAAGCGATTCTCCTGCTTCAGCCTCCCAAGTGGGTAGGATTACTGGCATATGTCAGCATGCTTAGCTAATTTTTGTATTTTTAGTAGAGACTGGGTTTCACCATGTTGGCCAGATGTCTCGAACTCCTGACCTCAAGTGATCCACCTGCCTTGGCCAATCTTCCAAAGTGCGGAGATTACAGCCATGAGCCACTGTGCCCAGCCTAGATTTTAGTTTTTAGTCTGAAGGTATCGGGACAGGAATCTTTGAGGAAGAAGTCAAGGTGGGATGAAATTCTAGTGACGGTTTTTTTCTTTTCTCTAAAAATCTCTGCCTTCCTTTTCTTGCAGGCATTTCCAAAGCACGTGTCTTCCAATGCCAGCCCTGGTCTTCAGAACTGGGGCAGGTAGTGTGTCAGCTGATAGTTTAGGAGGGTGTTTTTCCAGCTGAGGTCTCTGAGTAGGAGACCTCCTCTCAACACCACCTCTGCCAGGACCATCTATTTTATGGGAAGATGTAGATAGGTGGATGATTGCATTAAAATTTTATGGGCAAATGATAGAGGTAGTATGGTACAATTGGCAAGAATTTTTTTTTTTCTTTTTTTTTTTTTTCAGACAGTCTTGCTCTGTCGCCCAGGGAGAAGTGCAGTGGTGCAGTCACAGCTTGCTGCAGCCACCACCTCCTGGCTCAAGTGATCCTCCTGCTTCTGCCTCCTGAGTAGCTGGGATGACAGGCACACACCACCATGCCTGACTGATTTTTTAAAAATTTTTTTGTAGAGATAGGGTCTTGCTATGTTACTCAGGCTAGTTTCGAATTCCTGGGCTCAAGGAATCCACCCACCTCAGCCTCCCAAAGTGCTGGGATTACAGACATGAGCCACTGCACCCAGCAATTTTTTCTTTTGAGACAGGGTCTTGTTCTGTGTCCATACTTGAGTTCAGTGGTGCAATCATAGCTCACTGAAGCCTCTACCTCCTGGGCTCAAGTGATCCTCCTGCCTCAGTTTCTTGGGACCACAGAAGGCTGTAGGTGGGAACACAGGCACACAGCAGCACATCCAGCTAAATTTTAAATTTTTTGTAGAGATGAGGTCTCATTGTGTTGTCAGGCTGGTCTCGAACTCCTGGGCTCAAGCAATTCTCCTGCCTTGGGCTCTCAAAGTGCTGGGATTACAGGCACGAACCACTGTGCCCAGTGTTTTTTTCTTTTGAGACAGGGTCTCACTCTGTCGCCCAGTCTGGAGTACAGTGGCACAATCATAGCTCACTGAAGCCTTGACCTCCTGGGCTCAAGGGATTCTCCTGCTTCAGCCTCCTGAGTAGCTGGGACCACAGGTGCACACCACTACATCCAGCTAGTTTTTAAATTTTTTGTAGAGACAAGGTCTTCTCTATTGTCCAGGCTGGTCTTGAACTCCTGGGCTCAAGCAGTCCTCCCGCGTTGGCCTCCCCAAATGCTGGGATGACAGGTGTGAGCCACTGTGCCTAGCCTGGGCATGAATTTTTCAGGCAAAAATCTTGAGCTTGCATTCATGCTGATTAGCAGATAGTCCTTGCAAGTGTAGCTGTCACCACAGATCAGTTTAACTTGCTTAATAATGCCAAATGCCGTATAATGAGAATTTATTCTCCGCTTGGTAAGAATTGGAAGCAGTCTGTATGTTTAGAGACAGAAATTTGAGGGTTTCAGAGGGCACTGCCCAGGCGTCCGGGGGAGTGCTGTTTCTCAGACACACACACACACTGTCTCTGCTCTTTCTTTCAGGCAAGATCATCAGTTAGTGCTCACTTATTATTTATTTTTTTCCGCTTATTAATACCTTTCCCATAATCTTATGTAATGTCTACTGTCCAAGAGCACTTCGTTTAATATTCTCCATAGATGTTTTTAGGTATGTATGAGACATTTGCTCCTGGAGTTTAATGCTCCATTCCTGTATTTGTGCATTATTCACACAGCTGAATGTATTGACACAGGGTCGCCCCCCAAACCCAGAGAGAAACAGGAATGCGACTCCCCTAACTACTGTTAGAACGCTGCGGGCAGGTGAGGGAGGATGGGCTCGGGAGGTTGTTAACGTCTGAGGCAGCAGGGTTGGCGCAGATCGCATGAGTGTCTGTACTCAGAGCTCTGCTTCCCAGCCTGGCCTAGGTGGTTTTTCAGTACGTTGTGGTGGCTCGTAACTCCAGGACCAGCGGCCCAAAGAGATACCCTATTGGGAAACTCACCTTCATGCTAAAGTGCAAGACGAGCAACTGAAATGTTATTTAAGACGGAAGAAATGCTATGTTAGGGCCACGTCACACATACCTAATCATTTACCTTTCTCTGGTAACTTTCATTTCCTCATGTAACCCTCCCCCACTTCTCTGTCACCTCTCCCATTGATTTCCATTTTTGTACTTCATATTTCTCCTCTTTGTTTTTCTTTGAATTTTTCTTCACTGCAGTGTATTGGACAGTTCACATGTGTAGTTCGACGTATGAATGTCCTGACGCTGCAGTTAGAAACTATCACAGACTGGAAGGTTTAAACAAGAGAACTTTATCCTCTCTTAGTCCTGGAGACCAGAAATTTGAGATCAAAGTATCTCAGGACTGTGCTCCAAGGAAGGATCCTTTCTGCCTCTGCCAGCTCCTGGGGCTCCAGGCATCCCTGGACTTGTGGCCGCATCACTACAGTCTCTGCCTCTGTCCCCATGTGGCCTTCTCCTCTGTGTGTGTGCCTCCTCTTCAGTCCCTTATGACAATACTTGTCATTGGATTTGGACCTACCCTATTCCAGGATGATTTCGTCTGAAGCTCCTCAAGTTAATTCTATCTGCAAAGACCCTATTTCCCAATAAGGTCCCATTCATAGGTTGTTGGGGCAGGATCACAGATATATCTTTTTGGAGACCTCTCATTCCACCCACTCCATTGAATTTCATTAAGGTCAGGAAGTGATTTGGAAGCTACAAGAGAATTAATTTTGCTCTCTGGCATTTCTGATCATCAATGAGGGTATCATTTGAAAGCTCCATTTTATAAGGTATTTCTATTGCTTGAATACCTGGATTAGAGTATTTAAGTCAAAAGAAGCTAAATAGAAAGCATAACTTTGAATCAGTATGAGTCTCTGTCCTGGGCGATATCAGAAAATCTCAGAAGTATAACTTGTGCTTCGGACATGTAGGGATCTAGTATACACTTACTGGTTGATGATATGGTTTGGCTTCGTGTCCCTACCCAAATCTCATGTTTAAAAGTAATCCCCAGTGTTGGAGGCGGGACCTGGTGAGAGGTGGTTGGATCATGGGAGTGGTTTCCGACATTTTAGCAACATTGCCCTAGTATTGTTTCATGATAGAGTTCTCAGGAGATCTGATGGTTTTAAAGTGTAGTACTTCCTCCTTTGCTTGCTGTTGCTCATCTGCCGCCATGTAAATATGGCCTTGCTTCTCCTTTGCCTTCAGCCATGATTGTAAGTTTCCTGAGGCCTCCCCAGCCATGCGAAACTGTGAGTCAGTTAAATCTTTTTTCTTTATAAATTACACAGTCTCAGGTAGTTCGTCGTAGGAGACTGAAAATGGACTAATACAGTTGACTTCTAGATTTTCTTGGATTTAGCTTGGTCTTTGCAGTTTTAAGTATTTTTTTTAGTTTATTTAACATATTTTTAAAATTTCAAGGTATTACTAAGTCTGCTGGTTTCTTCAGCAGGACTACAGTAGTTTTACTACAGTCGACAGAGCGTAGTATGACAATCTTGTTTTTACACAGGTACCACTATCTTCCAGGCTGTCTTTTGTATTTCCATCTTTCTTCTGGTCTCTGGGGATCAGTAAATGGTTTTCTTTGGGTAATGAGATTTGGTCAGCTTTGCAGACCACCCAGTCTCAGTTACAAGTATAGACTCTGCTCCTGCACATTAAAAGTGGTCATATAGTGAGACCACATCCCAACAGAAAGTAAAAAATTAGCCAGGCATGGTGGCACACACCTGTGGTCTCTGCTACATGGGAGTTTGAGGTGGGAGGATGGCCTCCTGGGGGAGGTCAAGGCTACAGTGAGCTATGATTGCACCACCGCACTCCAGCCTGGGTGACAGAGTCAAACCCTGTCGCAAAAAAAAGAAATTTTTGATAAAGTATAACTGGAGGCTCTTTCATTCGGCCTGTACACATTGTGTGCCACCTACTGTTCTGTGAATGAGGAATATAAAGAAATTCACTGATGGGTGTGGTGGCTCACATCTTGTAGTCCTAGTATTTGGGAAGGTTGAAGTGGGAAGACTGCACAAGCCCAAGAGTTTGAGACCAGCCTGGGCAACATAGTGAGATCTCATCTTTACCAAAAATTAAAAACAAACAAACAAACAAAAAACAGCCTGGCATGGTGGTGTGAACCTGTAAACCCAGCTGCTCAGGAGGCTGAGGTAGGAGCATAGCTTGAGCCCTGTAGGTCAAGGTTCAGTGCAGTGAGCCAGGATCACGCTGCAGTACTCCAGCCTGGGGGCAACAGAGCAAGACCTTGTCTCAAAAAAAAAGGACTTCACTGACGTTCAGTTGCAGTTTATTGTGGGTGCCTTATAGTGCTGTGCAAGCAGGGTCAGTACTGGGCTCTCCAAGGCAGGACATATCGGCTATTGCTTGTGCTGTAGACTGAAGGAAGCCTCGAGAAAGGTGTCCTGTTCTTGGCCATAGTGGCGTATTCACCACTATAAACTTTACTTTAACAATTACTTTATATTTGATTTCATTTCTATTTATTTATTTATTTACTCCGTCTCACTCTGTCACCCAGGCTGGAGTGCAGTGGTGCAATTTCATCTCACTGCAACCTCTGCAAGTGTCCTGTTCTTGGCCATAGTGGCGTATTCACCACTATAAACTTTACTTTAACAATTACTTTATATTTGATTTCATTTCTATTTATTTATTTATTTACTCCGTCTCACTCTGTCACCCAGGCTGGAGTGCAGTGGTACAATCTCAGCTCGCTGAAACCTCTGCCTCCCAGGTACAAGTGATTTTCCTGCCTCAGCCTCCCAAGTAGCTGAGATTACAAGCACCCACAACCATGCCCAGCTGATTTTTGTATTTTTAGTAGAGACAGCTTTCACTGTGTTGGCCAAGATGGTCTTGAACTCCTTACCTCAAGTGACCTGCTTGCCTTGGTCTCTCAGAGTGCTGGGATTATAGGCATGAGCGACAGTGCCTGGCCTGTATTGTATTGTACTGTACTGTACTCTACTGTACTGTACTGCACTGCACTGCACTGCATTGCACTGCATTGTATTATTTGACTTGTTTAAAATACTTTATTTTATTTTGTTTTGTATTGTATTGTAGACAAGGTCTCACTCTTATCACCCAGGCTGGAGTGTGGTGGTGTGATCACAGCTCACTGCAGCCTTGACCTCCTGTGCTCAGGTGATCCTCCCACCTAAGCCTTCCAAGTGGCTGGGACCACACATGTATACCACCACACCCAGCTAATTTTTTTTTTTTTTAAGACTGGGTTGTGCCCTATTTCCCAAGCTTATTTTATTTTTTAAATTGATACATAATAATTGTACATATTCATGGGGTACACAGTGATGCTTTGATACGAAGAATGGAGTAATCAGATCAGAGTAATTAGCATATCCATCATCTCAATCATTTACCATTTATTTGTGTTAGGAACATTCAGTATCCTCTTTCTGTCTGTTTGAAACTATACGACATGTTATTGCTAATTATAGTCACCCTACAGGGCTATAGAACACTGGAACATATTCATCCTATCTGGTTGTAATTTTATATCCTTTAACAAAGCACTCCCTGTCTCTCATGTCTTCCCTTCCCAGCCTCTAGTATCCTCTGTTCTTCTTTATCCTTTTAGGAGATGAGCTTTTTTTAAGCTTCCACGTATGAGTAAACAGAAGTGCTGTTTAATGTTCTTTTCCTGGCTTATTTCACCTAACATAACATCCTCCAGTTTCATGCATGTTGCTGCCAATCAGAGGATTGTATTCCTTTTCATGGCCGAATAGTATTCTGTGTGTAGATACCACCTTTTCTTTACCTGTCTGCTCATCTGTTGATGGGCACCTACGTTGATTCCCTATGTTGGCTGTTGTGAATAGTGCTGTGGTAAACATGGGCATGCCGATGTCTCTCCAGTATCATGACTTCCTTTCTTTTGAACAAATACCTAGTAATGTGATGGCTGGGTCATACGCCAGCCATCTATTATACTCCATAATAGATGGGAGTTCTATTTCTAGTTTTTCGAGGAACCTCCATACTCTTCTTTATGGTGGCTCTACTAGTATACATTCCCATCAACATTGCATAAGAGTTCCCTTTTCTGCCAGGCACAGTGGCTCATGTTGGTAATCCTAGCTATTTGGGAGACCAAGCTGGGTGGATCACTTGAGCCCAGGACTTTGAGACCAGCCTAGGCAACATGGTGAAATCCCACCTCTACAAAAAAAATACAGAAATTACCTGGTATGGTGGTGGGTGCCACCTACTGTGGTCCCAGCTACTTGGAAGGCTGAGGCAGATGGATCGCTTGAGCCTGGGAGGTGGAGGTTGCAGCAAGCTGAGATTGCACCGCTGCACTCCCACCTGGTTGATAGAGCAAGACCCTGTCTCAAAAAAAAAAAAAAAAAAAAAAGAGTTCCCTTTTCTTCACATCGTCACCAGCATTGTTATTTTTGTGTGTATACGTTTTTTTTTTTTTGTTTTTTGTTTTTGTTTTTGTTTTTTTTTAGACAGAGTTTCACTCTTGTCACCCAGGCTGGAGTGCAGTGGCACAATCTTGGCTCACTACAATGTCCATCTCCAGGGATTCAAGTGATTCTCTTGCCTCAACCTTCCAAGTAGCTGGGACTACAGGCGCTGACCACCACACTTGGCTAATTTTTGTATTTTTAGTAGAGACGGGGTTTCACTGTTGGCCAGGCTGATCTCAAATCCTGACCTCAGGTGATCCACCCCTTTCAGCCTCCCAAAGTGCTGGGATTACAGTGTCTTTTTGATAATAGCCATCTTAACTGGGTTGAGATGATTGACACCTCATTGAGTTTTTGATTTGCATTTCCCTGATGATTAGTGACGTTGAGCATTTTTTTCATATACATGTTGGCCTTTTCCATGTATTCTTTTGAGAAATGCCTGTGAAGACCACCTGTCCATTTTTTAATTGGAGTGCTTATCTTTTTGCTGTTGAAACGTTTGAGTTCCATGCTTGGTCATGGTGATGGATTCACCCTGGTAACCTTGAGAGAGCATTTCTATCCATTGTTTAGTGCTCAGTTAAGGAATGGGCTGGTGGCCCCTCTGAATAAGATGCCCAAAGGAGTTACCTTCTGCTCAGCAGATGTCTCTCAAATGGTCTTTATATTCTCTCCAAGGGAGCTTCCCCTGCATCGGACTGTGGCACCCAGTGCCTTGCCTCTTAGAACCATCTGACTATTACGTGCTTTCAGATCGTGACAACTTCAATGTGTGGGGAAGAACATGTGAAATAAATTATCTTCTGCCTGTGTGAAGCAGAAATAGCTATCGTTACAAAGCAGGGATTTTTTTCCATGCTTACTCCCCACTAAAAATACATGTTTGTTTTTCTAACAGGTTTCCTCCATTTTTTGATGACAACCCGTTTGGCATTTATCAGAAAATTCTTGCAGGCAAACTATATTTCCCCAGACATTTGGATTTCCATGTAAAGTAAGTAAACCGTTTGCCTCATCATGAGGTGTGTTTATTTTTAAAGTGTCTAAAATCACCATGAAAGCACGCACTCAGCAGGATACCATATTGTGTTATTAAATGTGCTGCGCATAAACTATTTTGGACAGTTGTCTTTTCCACAAGAAAAGAAAAAGATTTTCAGTATTCTACTTTAATGATAGCTTCACATTTTAATGAGTCTTGGCTGTATTGTGTTCTTTTGGTGGTATGTTATATTTAAAATGAGCCAATTAATGAGTTTGTCATCATATTTTATAAGAGAGCAGTTTTGCAATTTGACAAGAAGGATCCTCCTAATTCTGTGGCTTGCAGAGCTGTTGATGGGTTTACCAGAGTTTTATCCTTTCTCTCCTGCTTAAATTATGCTCAGCCTCTAAGTCCTTTTTAACATCAGCATTTTCAGTTCTGAGCATGTTGCTTTAAGAACATTTATATAGTTGCTAGATATTGGCAACTTTGGATGCACATTTTATTAAGGTTGTGGCAGTAGGGAGAAAAGACATTTTGTTAAATATAAGAATGCTTTTGGTTTTCTGGCTACCTTACCCAATCTGGTCAACTGGTAGCCATTTTTACTGTAATAAGCACTGATTTCTGTTTGTTTCACTGTATTTTTCAGATGAGTTGGTGGGCGCACCAGCCCCCTGGGCACAAACTAGAGCTAAATGCATCTAGTTGAGAATTAAACTTTTCTTTTCCATGGCCTATTTTCTTATGAGCTGGTGGTAGTTCAGTTCAGAGAAGACTTATTTCAGGGTGATGGACCAGGTTGTTTTGAATATGCCCTTGTGGGGCTACTGGCTACGTTGAGTTGAGTTTCTTGGTGGCGAATGCACCCCATCCTAACCAGAGGTCCTTTGTCTGAACAGAAGATAAGGTCGTGTTTTATTGGCTTGAGCATGTGTTGTGTTTGACACAATAGAGGCAGGCTTTAAAAGACTTTAGCAAGAAAATGAGGCTCTGCTTAACAATGAGTCACCTAGAAGGGACACCCTGTCCAGTGAATGGTAAGACAGGGAGGTGTCAGGGGAAACAGCACCTCAGAAGCCAACTGCTCTGGAAGGAAATAGAAAGGATTATATAGAACCTCTCTCTCAGGCTCCAAATCCCATCTGAGTTGAGTGACATTATATCAAGTGGATGGCAAAGCACTTTTATGATCGAGTTTGGCCAGGTGAGGTGCTTATGCCTGTAATCCCAGCACTTCAGGAGCCTGAGGTAGGAGGATTTGTTGGGGCCAATAGTTTGAGGTCAGCCTGGACAATGTAGCAACACCCCATGTCTACAAAAAATTAAAAAATTAGCCGGACATGGTAGCAGGTGCCTGTGGTCCAGCTACTAGAGAGGCTGAGGTGGGAGGACTGCTTGAGCCCAGGAAGTCGAGGCTGCAGTGACCTGTGATTGCACCACTACACTCCAGACTGGATAAAACAGTGAAACCCTGTCTCAAAAAAAAAAATTAAAATTAAAAAAAATGTGTGTGTGTGTGTGTGTGTGTATATACATGTATGTATATATATACACACACACACACACACACAAACACACAGAGAGGTTTCCAATGTTCTGTGGAAACAACAACAAAAAAGGGAATTACAGAAGTAGAACAAACCAGAAGCGTAATCAAAGTCCAGTTTCTTGCCACTTTTCCTTCTTTCTCTCCTAGAGAGTAGGGAACCATCAGTGACCATCTTGGTATTGTCTAATCTAACGTGCCTGTCTTTATGCAGCTCCCAGCCCCTTCCAGTGTTCCCCACGATGCCCCTGTCTCTTTACATACCCAGTGCGGGTCCACCAAGAGCAGAAACAGTGGTAGTTGAGTAAAACTTCACTTCTTTCCATTATTTGTTAAATCTTATCAAATTGGCTGAGAAGCAAGGCCTCAATGACTCATATCTTTCCTTTTTTTGGTAGAGATGGGTATGGGGGAGTCTTGTTGCATTACCCAGGCTGATCTTGAACTCCTTGGCTCAAGTGATCCTCCTGCCTTTTCCTCCCCAAGTGTGAGCCACTGCACCTGGCCTTAGTGACACATTTCTTATGCAAATTGCTGTCCCTGGTTGTCTGTGATGCTAGAATTTTGATTCTCAGCTTTTAAAGTCATGCTGATTCCTGCAGCTTTTAACATTTGACTGGGTAAACATATTGCCTGGGCATATGGCACGTCAGAATTGACATTCCTTATAGAAATAAATGTCATTTAAAAGAAAGAAAAACACCAAAACAAAGCTTTAGGACTTGTTGCCAATTCAGCAGAAGTTTTATCTGCCAGTGTTTTTTTCATGCCTGAAAGTATCTGGATCTGAGAGGAGCCAGCTGTTGCCAGGATCATAAATAAAGTTTAGAATTTTGGCTGTGGTGAATCAAAAGAGTGCCAGCAGATATATTGCTATCCTGAGGTCAAGGGACCCATCTACAGCTGTGGACACTTCTATTGTTCCTTTATAGGGCTTTGCCTTTTTGGGGGGCCCCTTCTCATCCACAGTGTTTGCTTTCTAAACTTCTTTACAAGAATTTGCTTTGGTATTTTACTTTTTCTTTTAAAGAGACGGGTGTCTTGCTCTGTCACCCAGGCTGGAGTGCAGTGGCACAATCATAGCTCACTTCTGCCCCAATGTCCTGGGCTCAAATGATGCTCCCACCTCAGCCTCCTGAGTAGCTGGTGCTACAGGCACACACCACCATGCCTCACTAATGTTTTGATTTTTTGTAGAGATGGGGGGTCTTACTATGTTACCCACACTAGTCTCAAACTCTTGGTCTCAACTGATCTTGCCACTTTAGCCTCCTGCATAGCTGGGATTACAAGCCACTGTGCCCTGTATTTTAAATAAATCTTCATTTTCTTAGATGCCAAACACCAAAAGAAAAACAAAAAACAAAAAACAAGGTCATCTTCTTACATGCCAGACACCAAAAACAAAACAAAACAAACAACAACAACAACAGCAACAACAAAATGAAGTTTATTAAGGTGATCCCCAAAACATCCTGAAATAAACATGGGGCTTTTCTTCCCCTATAATTTACACATCACTGCCTGCCCCATTAGCACACATACTTAAAAGCTGATTGGATTGGAATTATAAGGAAACAAGTTTATTTAAAATATAAAAGCATAAAGAAATCTGTCTTATAATCCCACTCCAGTCAGCTTTAAGTTTAGTGTGTGCACTAACGGGGCAGACAGTGGTGTAAATTTTATGGGGGAAAAAAAGCCCCATATTTATTTGGGACTGTTTTGGGGGTATAGTGTTTGATGACCTTGATATTTTTTGGCAAGGGGCAGCATGTCAAAATAATGAAGGAGAAACTCGGTAAGTACTGTAAAGGTTTCTAACTTTTCAGTGATGTTTATATTCCCCACCCTGCTCAAAGCTTTTCAGCCTTACAATGGTTACAAAATCCCAGCCATAGCGGGAGGGAGACAGATGGTCTCTGAGTTTTACTTTGAGACAGAGAAGCAGTGAAGTGTGACAAGCATCTCATCGTAATTCAGAAAGCACGGCAGCAGGAAACTCTGGTTAAATTTCCAATCAGATGGGACTGGTGAGATTCACAGTCTAGATGGTGGAGTCTGACCCTGGGACATCACCTGGCTTGCAGAGACTCCACAGTCTGTCACAGAACCCAGGAGTGGCCCAGTCCAAGTTCATGCTACTTACCCTGGGGCATAGTTTATGCCGGGAGAGCCTAGATGCTAACACCGCAGTCATAGGTATTGGATTGTTTTGGGGGACTTCAATATATTACATTATTATATCATATTATGTACATTATTATACATAATATACTCTGTGTATTATATGTGTACACACAGACACACATGATCATTTCTAATTCCATAAATATGCATCTTAGAACTCACCTAATCTCCTGGAAGTCTTCAACATCATCTCCAACTACCCATCCTAATTGAAGCAGCTTGCTGTTTTTCTTTTGTTTTGTTTTGAGACAAAGTCTCACTCTATTGCCCAGGCTGGAGTGTAGTGGTGCCGTCTCAGCTCCTTGCAACCTTCACCTCCTGGGTCCAAGCAGTTCTTGTGTCTCAGCCTGCCAAGTAGCTGGGACCACAGGCAAGCATCAGCATGCCCAGCTAAATTTTTTTGTTTTTTGTTTTTTTAAATAGAGGTGGGGTTTCACCGTGTTGGCCATGCTGGTCTCAAACTCCTGACGTCAAGTGATCCATGCCCGTCGATCTCCCAAAATGTTGGGAGATCTCCCCTCCCCTCAAGCAAGGTTAATAGAGCAATAACAATGTATAAGTTATTACTCATTATTTTGTTTACTTATTTATTTTATTTTTTAAACAGTTTTACGGAGAGTGAATTCACACGCCATGCCATTTACCCATCTAAAATGTGCAATTTGGTGGCTTTTAGTATACACACAATTTGTACAGCCACCCCCGTGGTTAATCTTAGAACGTCTTCATCAGCTCAAAAAAAGAAACCCTGCACCCTTCAGCTATCACTGTTCTAATCTTTCCTCCTCTCTTGCCCTAAGCCAGTGGTCCCCAACCTTTTTGGCACCAGGGACTAGTTTCGTGGAAGACAGTTTTTCCACGGAGCATGCAGCCTAGATCCCTTACATGTGCAGTTGACAGTAGGGTGTGTGCACCTATGTGAATCTAATATGGCTGATCTGACAGGAAGTGCAACTCAGGTGGTAATGCAAATGATGGGGTGTGGCTGTAAATACAGATGATGCTTCACTCATTTACCTGCTGCTCACCTCCTGCTGTGCGGCCCATTTTGGTTCCTAACAGGCCATGGACTGCTACTGGTCCATGGCCCTGGGGTTGGGGACCCCTACCCTAAGCAACCACTAATCTACTGACTTCTCTGTACAGTTCTATATTCTGGGCTCTGCTAAAAATGGAATTGTACAAAATATAATGTTTTGTGTCTGGCCTGTTTCACTGAGCATGATGTTTTCAAGTTTCATCCATGCTGTAGCCTGTGTCAGAGCTTCCTTCCTTTTCATGGCTGTATAGTATTCTATTTGTGTAGGTGGACCTCATTTTATTTATCCATTCATCCATGGATGGACGCCTGGGCTGTTTCCACCTTTGGCTTTTGTCAGTAGTTCTGCCATGGACATGGGTGTATATATTTTTATGTATGTAAGCAATGATTTTAGAAGTTATACATCAGGTATGATTTCTACAAACTTTTTATATGGAGGCAAATACATAATTGACAAACAGACTGTTCCATAAATAGTATCATACTTTATATGCATGTTTTGGCATTCCTGGATTTGATAGAATTCATGGACGTTTTGTAGGCTGTTTCTAGCTCTGGACAACATTGGAGGGACTTATACATGGAGGGTCTTCCATATTCATCTTGACCCTGTAAATTCCATTTTGGAGAGACACAGTACACCAGGGTGTGAGGGTTGAACCACTTGGCTCTCTTGGGTTCATGTTGCATCCTCTGTGTGGTTTGGGAGTCTCCAGTGACTGCCATAACAACTGACCACAAACAAGGGGCTTAAACAACAGGAATTGATGCTCTCCCAGTCCCAGTCGTGGAAGCCAGGACTCTGAGATCAGATGTCTCAGGCCTCCAGAGGCTCTAGGGGAGGATCTTTTCTGCCTCTCCCAGCTCCTAGGGGCTCCAAGCATCCCTGGGCTTGTGGACACATCGCTCTAGTCTCTGCCTCCGCCTCCATGTAGTCTTCTCCTCTGGGTCTGTGTCTTCTGTTCTCTCTTTCAGAAGTACACCTGTCATTGGGTTTAGGGCCACCCTAATGCAGGATTATCTCATCTTAAGAGCCTTCCCTTAATTACATTTACAAAGACCCTATTTGCATGTAGGGTTCCATTGCCGGGTATTGGGAGTCAGGACATCGGCATATATTTTGGGGGCCACTGCCCAGTGTGTAATAATTGTTTCCACTTCCTGCTAGAGGCTCTAGGGGGGGATCCTTCCTGCCTCTCCCAGCTCCTGGGGGCTCCAGGCATCCCTGGGCTTGTGGCCACACCACTGCAGTCTCCACCTCCATTTTCACATGGCCTTCTCCTCTATGTTTGTGTCTCCTCCTCTGTCTCTTATGAGGACACCTGTCACTGGATTTAGGGCCCACCCTTCTCCAGGATGATGTCATCTCAAGAACCTTAATTTAGTTACATCTGCAAAGACCCTATTTCCAAATAAAGTGATATTCACAGGCACTGGGGGATAGGATGTGCACATATCTTTTTGAGGGACATTGTTTACCGTATAACAGTAGTCAAGCCTCTGTCCTTTACATTATTTGCAGACAGCAACCGATACCTTCAGGTCTCCAAGGAGCCTGTCCAGCCAGGTTGCACGTTGTGGACTCATCTGTGCCACGGCTCTACATAAGATTGGACGGGTCCTGTTTTAATGCCATAGCCATTTAGAAAAGAGCTGGGTCTCTTGCTGGGACTGCAGGGAATCACAGATGACCCATATCTAGAATATGCTGGGAGTGGTGTAGTGACCATCATAGGTACCCTCCAAGGGGAAAGAACAAGTTTCCTCATCAAAGGAATTGGGGAAAAGCTCACAAACTCTCAAGCTAGGTCTTAAAGTCTAGTTAAATCTTCCTGATAGGGAGATAAACTGAAAAAGACTTAAGAAAACACTGACTTTATTTTATTTTATTTTTGTAAAATTAACAAATAAAAATGGTTTTATTTATCATGTACAACATGAAGTTTTGAAATATGTACCCATTGAACAATGGGTCCATTGAGTTCATTAACATATGCATTACCTCACATAATTACCATTTATTTGTGGTGAGAAAACTTAAGATCTAATCTACCCTTTGAAAAAATTTGTTTTTAAGAGATGGGGTCTCAATGTGTTGCCCAGGCTGGTCTCAACTTCTGGGCTCAAGTGATCTGCCCGCCTCAGCCTCACAAAGTGCTAGGATTACAGGCAAGAGCCACTGCACCCAGCAAGATCTACTCTTCCAGAGATTCTTGAGAATACATCATTAGTTATAGTCACCGAGCTGTGCAAGCCACTGACTGAACTTGTTCCTCCTGTCTCTCTCACTTTGTCTCTTTTGACCAATGACTTCCCATCTCAGCCCCTTCCCAGCCCCTGGTATCCACCATTCTACTCTCTGCTTCTATGAGTTCAACTTTTTTAGATTTCCCATGTAAGTGAGGTCAGACTGTGTTTGTCTATCTGTGCCTGGCTTATTTCTCTCTCTCTTTTTTTGTGTGTGTGAGACAATCGTGCTCTATTGCCCAGGCTGGAGTACAGTGGTGCCATCTCCGCTCACTGCAACCTCAAAAGTTTCTCCTTCATCAACCTCCCGAGTAGCTGGGATTGCACCACACCTGGCTAATTTTTGTATTTTTGGGTACGGATGGGGTTTCACCATGATGGCCAGGCTGGTCATGAACTCGTGACCTCAAGTGATCTATCTGTGTCAGCCTCCCAAAGTGTTGGGATTACAGGTTTGAGTTACCATGCCTGGACCTTATTTCTCTTAATATACTATCCTCCAGGTTGATGCATGTTTTGAAAATGACATTTCCCTCCTTTTACTTGCTGAATAGTACTCCATGGTATATATATCACACATTTTCTTTATCCACTGCCCTCTTGATGGGCATGTAGCTTGATTCTACATCTTGGCTGTTTTGACCTGCTGCAATGAGCAGAGGGTGCAAATTATATACTCATTTGTTTTTTCTTTGGGTGTATGCCCAGTAGTGGGATTGCTGGAGCCTACATTCTATTTTTAGGTTCTCAGGGAAGAAACTGTCTGATTAAAATGGAGTTATGTTCGTGGGTAGCCCCTGGTCTATGGGTGCCCTGGAGAGGAACACTTACTCTTTTTCCTGCTGTGACCACCTCTCCACTCTCAGCTGCACCACCATCCTCAGCCTGAGTGTATCACTGCGTTCTCAGGCAGTTCTCATAGCTGCCTGTGGCACTGCCCCCCATGCCCCTGACTTTCCCCATCAATCCCTCCTCTTCACCAGGAAGAAGGGTTTGTCATTCATAGCCTGGAGCCCCAGGGCCTTACCTTGGTGCTCAGAACCTTCCAGTTTCCTCTCATCCCGTGCTTCTCGTCTGATGATTCCCTGGTCTTCCCCGTGAACCCTCATGCAGCCAGGATGGATGAGCCACCTGCTCCTGCACCTGTCACCATCGCACTTTGCTGTTCTTCTCTCTTTGCTTGGCACCTCTTCATTCGGGGGTCTTTCCTTCTTCTGGAACCACATCCATTCTGTTGAACTCCTTCATCCTCTGTGGACACTGCTGTGCCCTTCACGCTTGGAAAATCCCCAGCACATGGGTTCCTTTTTTTCTTATTAGCTGGCCTTATACACACACATGCATTGGCACACACATGCATTGGCACACACAGTTTATATAATATAAAATATATAAAGATTTATGTACAAATTTATATAATATAAAGGGTATCTATATACACACATTGCATTTTTATACACTTCATATACAAACCAGCATACAAAAAGGTCAAAGGAATATAGATTTATCTGTACATTATATAAATAGATAATTGTGCATTATGTAGATTTATCTATAATTTATATATTTATATATTGATATTTATATATCTGTAAATATATAGTGTACATACTTAGAAATATGTAAATATATTTATATTTAGAAATATAAATAATATATAATATAATACATATATAAGTATAAATATATAGATATATAATATAGGTATATAGATATAGAGTGTGATGCTGGGTGTGGTGGCTCACACCTGTAATCCCAGGACTTCAGGAGACCAAGGCAGAAGGATTGTTTGATCCTGGGAGTTCCAGACCAGTGCGGGCAACAACAGTGAGGCCCCATCTCTACACAGTATACAAAAATTAGCTAGGCATGGTGGTGCATGCCTGTAACCCAGCTACTTGGAAGGCTGAGGCACGAGAATTGCTTGAACTCAGTAGGGGTAGGTTGCAGTGAGACAAGATGGCACCATTGCACTCCAGCCTGGATGACAGAGTGAAACTGCATCTTAAAAAAAAAAAAAAAAAGTAGAATATAGTAAATAGATAAATCAGGGAAACAGTCATTTATTATCATTACCAACTATTAGGTGCTGCAGATAACGTATGTGTTAGACTGTTACATGGCTGGCAGTGCAACAGGAGGGATGCTCTGTCCTGTGGTTACAATGGCCATGATGTCACTAGGGGATAGGAGTTTTTAAGATCATTATAATCTTATGGGAGCACCACTGTATATGACATTCATTGTTGACTGAAGTGTCATTTTGAGGCCCATGACTGTAGACACACACATACACACAATTTTTTTTTTTTTAAGACAAGGTTTTGCTCTGTCACCCAGGCTGGAGTGCAGTTGTGTAATCACAGCTTATTGCAGCCTTGACCTCCTAGACTCAAGTGATCCTCCCACCTCAGCCTCCCAAATAGCTGGGACTACATGCATGCACCACCATGCCTGGCTAATTTTTAATATTTTTTTGTAAAGACCAAGTTTGACTTTGTTGCCCAGGTTAGTCTCAAAGCCCTGGGCTCAAGCATTCCTCCTGCCTTGGCCTCCCAAGATGCTGGAATATAAATGTAAGCCACTGCTCCCACCCCCCACACACTTTATATCATACACACACAGACACACACACACTAATCTGGATACTTATGTGTATTTAAAAGTATGTGTACATATAAATATATGTGTGTATAAATGTGTGTATGTGTATACGTACGTGTATATATATGTATGTGTATATATTGTGTGTATGTATATAAGTATGTGTGTATATAAATATATATTAACGTATATGCATATAAGTATGTGTATATATAAATGTATGTGTGTATATTAACGTGTGTATGCATATAAGTATTTGTATATATAAATATGTGTATATATTAACGTGTGTATGCGTATAAGTATGTGTATATATACATATATATGTATATATTAATGTGTGTATGTATATAAGTATGTGTATATATAAATATATATGTGTGTATATAAATATATGTGTTTATTTATTACTATGTATGCATGTGAGTATACCCAGACACACACATCCTTTAGTATCCAAATTAGAATTTTATCTGATGGATAAAATTTGTTTTATTTTATTCTCTTATTTTATTCACAGCACTCTTATTTATTCTTATTCACAACATTGCTGAAGGTAAAACTCAACAGCTATTGTTTGTTGCCTGACTTAGCTATAGATCAAAAATACCTGTTTTGCAATAAGAAAAGAAAAAATTGTCAAAACAACTGGATGGGAAAACAATAGAAAAAATTCACATTTTTTCCTTTTGAAGATATGGTCGTGGACGTAGTCCTCTTTAAGGATAAGAAATTTAAAACTACAGAAATGCTAACTGATAGACGTGTTAAATTCAGACGTACTGGCTTCTGTTTCATGGAACCTATGTTTATTTCTTCTGCTGTCCCACATTTAATTGATAACAACATCACTACAAGTATAAGAAAAGGAAGCAGAGTGAGGTTTACGGATGAGCACTTGGGAGGGATTTCAGAGGTCGTGATGGCCACAGTGTGAGCCAGCGATGCCTGGTGCTACCCTTGAGCATGAAGCAGGCCGACTTGAACACACCTTGTTAATTGCCAGGCCGTGCAATGTCGTTCCTAAGGTCTCTTAAACTGGACATCCTTGGTTTGAGTTCCCAGTCTTGTTATTTACTTGCTGGGTCCTACGGAGCAAATTAACATCATTCCTTGAACCCTAGTTTCTATGTCTGTAAAATACTGAGTAAGTTTGCCAAGACGAAAACAGGAGACAAACTGAGAAATTACTGGCTGTTCAATTTTATGTCGAGAGATGGAATCGTATTTACCTTTTTCGTCTTTGGTCCGGAATGCAAATGCATTGCACAGGAGCAGAATGACTGGATTTGTTTCTGCGACAAAAAAGGGCAAACAAAACACTAACAGCTTTGCTTGCAGGTTTTCCTGGCAGCTCACCCTCCAGGCACAGTTCTCCAAAATGCAGCAAACTTGGTCTGTTTGTTTCAATACTAAAATAATGTAGAGATTATTTGGGGTATTTTTCTTTCCTGCCCTGTCAAAATTCTGTACACTGACGACACGTGTTGTTTCTTTTGAAGAACGGGGCGAATGATGTGAAACACCATCGGTGGTTCCGCTCCGTGGACTGGAAAGCTGTTCCGCAGAGAAAACTGAAGGTACAACATGTATCAGTGGGTGACTCAGTATGCCCGAGCTCTCTTATGAACAGGGACTGCCTCTGAATCCTGGGACTTCTTTATTGATGACTGAGACGTAATTAATTTATGTAACACAACTCTTTGTCTAAAACCATTCATAAGCCAAGTTACCCACTCTATGAGTGTCTTAGTGCTAATTAGCTCCCACAAAGGGGTGAGGACATGTAATGTTTGTCTTTCCGTGTCTGGCTTATTTTACTTAACAGATGGATCTCAGTTCCATCCATGTTGCTGCAAATAACAAGATTTCATTATTTTTTTTTTATAGCCTAGTAGTATTCTACCATGTCTGTATACCACATTTTTTCTTTCTTGTTTTTTTTTTTTTTTTTTTTTTTTTTTTTAAGAATTGGGTTCTCACTATGTTGCCCAGGCTGATCAGAACTCCTGGTCTCAGGTGATTCTCCCACCTCGGCCTCCCAAAGTGCAGGGATGACAGGCAGGAGCCACCACACCCAGTCATATATCATATGTTCTTTGTCCATTCATCCATGGATGGACACTCGTCCCAGATTTTGAAGCAGATTTTAGAAGACCTGGCCCGATTCCTGACTAGCTCTGTGACTAGTGAATCCCACTCCGTCCTCTAGTGGAAAGTGGTAAGCAGGATTACAGAGATAAGCAAGTGTCTAGCACCATGGTCATTGTTCAGTGATGGTGGTGTTACATGGAGAATATTCTTTGGAACATTTCTGGCCAAACTGCACATCTGGCTTTTTGTCTGGGTGCAGTGGCTCACTCCTATAATTGCAGCACTTTTAGAGGCCAGTTTGGGCAGATCGCTCGAACTCAGGCGTTTAAGACTGGCCTGAGCAATACGGTGAAATCCCATCTCTACAAAAAATACAAAAATTAGCCAGGCGTGGTGGCATATGCTTGTCTTCCCAACTTCTTGGGAGGCTGAGGCATGAGAATTGCTTGATTCCAGGAGGTGGAGGTTGCAGTGAGCTGAGATTGTGCCACTGCCCTGCAGCCTGGGTGACAGAGCTGGATCCCATTTCAAAAAAAAAAAAACCCTGCAATCCGAGCACTTTGGGAGGCCTCAGTGGGCAGATCACGAGGTCAAGAGATCGAGACCATCCTGGCCAACATGGTGAAACCCTGTCTTTACTAAAAATACAAAAATTAACTGGGCATGGTGGTGCATGCTGGTAGTCCCAGCTACTTCAGAGGCTGAGGAAGGAGAATTGCTTGAACCTGGCATGCGGAGATTGCAGTGAGCTGAAATCATGCCACTGCACTCCAGCCTGGTGACAGAGCGAAACTCCATCTCAAAAAAAAAAAAATCTGGCATTTTTATCAATATGTAATACTTGTCCATTTTATAAATGAGTAGACTGCCTCAGAGAAGTTAAGCAGTGTGTTGAAGGTTACATAGGTGCTAAGCGGTGTAACTATCACATGTACATATTTATGGGTGTACATGTTATATTTCAACACACGCATAGAATGTATTGGCCAGGCATACTGGTTTATGCCTGTAATCCCAGCACTTTCGGAGGCTAAGGCTGGTGGATCATGAGGTCAGGAGTTCAAGACCAGCTGGGCCACGATGGTGAAACACCGTGTCTACTAAAAATACAAAAGTTAGCTGAGCATGGTGGCACTTGCCGGTAATCCCAGCTACTCTGGAGGCTGAGGCAGAGAATTCCTTGAATGCAGGCATTAGAAATTGCAGTGAGCCGAGATCGCACCACTGCACTCCAGCCTGGGCGACAGAGCGAGACTCCATCTAAAAAAAAGGAGGAAAAAAAAAAAGAAAAAAAAATGTGTAATGATCAACTAAGGGTAATCAGGGTATCCATCAGCTCAAACATTATCATTTTTATGGGTTGGGAATATTGCAAATCTTCTAGCTATTCTGAAATATACAATATATTGTTGTTAACTCTGGCCACCCAACTATGCTGTCAAACAATAGAACTTACTCCTTTTATCTATCGGAATGTTTGTACCCTTTAGCCAAGAGTTCTTCATTTCCCCTTCATCCCCCACCCACACACCCTTCCCACTCTCTGGTAATCATCATGCTACTGTCAAGCTTCATGAGATCAACATTTTTAGTTTCCACATGTGAGTGGGAATGTGCTTGTATTTCTCATTCTGCATCTGGCTTAGTTTATTTATTATTTATTTTTGTTTTCTGGAACAGCATCTTGCTCTGTTGCCCAGGCTGGAGTGCAGTGGCACGATCTTGCTCACAGAAGCCTCCACCTCCTGGCTTCAAGCAATTCTCATGCCTTAGCCTCTTGAGTAGCTGGGATTACAGATGCCCAGCTAATTTTTGTATTTTTACTAGAGATGGGGTTTCACCATGTTGGCCAGGCTGGTCTCAATCTCCTAACCTCAAGTGATCCATGAGCCTTGGTCTCCCAAAGTGATGGGATTACAGGCATGAGCTGCCACACCCAGCCTGGCTTAGTTTACTTAACATAATGATCTCCCATTCCATTCATGGTGCTGTAAATGACAGGATTTCATTCCATTTTACGGCTGAATAGTTTTTCATTGTGTGTATGGACCACACTTTCTTTATCCATTCATCCATTGGTGGACACTTAGGTTGATTCCATATCTTGGCTTTTGTGAACACTCTGAATTGCATATGTTACTGATGGGAGTGTTCAATGGTAGTGTTTTCACCTTTGCACTTCAGAGTCAAAAGAATGGAGAATGCTTAGAAGTGCTAATTACCTGTCCTCAGCTCAGACCAGAGTCTGGGGCTGGAGCCTGGGATGATACACTTCTTTTTTTTTTTTTTGAAATGGAGTCTCACTTTGTTGCTCAGGCTGGAGTGCAGTGGAGCAATCTCAACTCACTGCAACCCCCATCTCCTGGGTTCAAGCGATTCTTCTGCCTTAGCCTCCCAAGTAGCTGGGATTACAGGTGTGCATCACCACACCCAGCTGATTTTTTTTGTAGTTGTAGAAGAGACGGGGTTTCACTATGTTGGCCAGGCTGGTCTCTAACTCATGACCTCAAATAATCCACTCTCCTTGGCCTCCCAAAGTATTGAGATTACAAGCGTGAACCACCGGGACTGGGCTGATGCACATCATTTTGTTCACAAAGTTTTACCTTTTCAGATACTTTATTGTATTAAATTGCATTAAAAAAACAGTTTGAATACATTTTATCTATCCACATTGGTCAAAAACCAAGTCAATATTAAAACAGATATATTGCCAAGTCTCCCTTTTACCCCCTCCAAGCCACCTGTAGGTAATCATCTTTTATTAAATTTTTCTGTGTATCCTTCTAGAGTTTCTTTGTGCTAATAAAAACCCACATGGATACATGCATTCTTATTTTTGCCACTCATTTATACAAATCTAGAGTAGCATAGTATGTACATGATTATAGTCTTGCTTTTTGCACTTGACTGTATAATTTGGACCTGTCTACATACCTGGCTAGCTTCCTTTTTTTTTTTTTAAGACAAAGTCTCACTCCGTTGCCCAGGCTGGAGTTCAGTGGTGCGATCTCGGCTCACTGCAACCTCCACCTCCCAGGTTGAAGCGATTCTCCTGCCTCAGCCTCCCGAGTAGCCAGGATTACAGGCACCCACCACTATGCCTGGCTAATTTTTGTATTCTCGGTAGAGACAGGGTTTCGAGATGTTGGCCGGGCTGGACTTGAACTCCTGACCTCAGGCGATCCGCCCACCTTGGCCTCCCATAGTGCTGGGATTACAGGCATGAGCCCCTGCACCCAGCCAGCTTCCTCATTTTAAAAATACTGCATTGTATTCCATCACATGACTGTACCATAGCTTACTTAATACTATATATGTATATATTTTGAGACAGGATCTCACTCTGTCTTTCAGGCTGGAATGCAGTGGTGCAATCATGGCTCACTTGGAGTATCGACCTCCTGAGCTCAAGCAGTCTTCCCACCTCAGCCTACTGAGTAGTTGAGACTGCAGGCACACAGCACCACACCCAGCTAATTGTTTGTATTTTTTGTAGAGACAGGGGACTCCCTGTGTTCCCCAGGCTGGTCTCAAACTTCTGAGGCTCAAGCGACCCTCCTGCCTCAGCTTCTTAAAGTGTTGGGATTACAGGTGTGAGTCCCCACACGCAGCCTCATTCACAATATTTTAATTCCAAGATTGCTTCATTCATAAATGAAGGGAAGACAGCTTTAGTGTTTTGCAAATCATTTTCATTTTTAGGTACAGTGACAGAAGTAAAGGGGTATATGCAGCGTCCAAGCGTCCTGTTCCTTTCTAACCATGCCTTCATGCTTCGGCCATGTCTTATAGCCTCCCATCGTGCCCACGATAGCTGGCAACGGCGACACTTCCAACTTCGAAACTTACCCTGAGCATGACTGGGACACAGCCGCGCCCGTGCCGCAGAAGGATTTAGAAATCTTCAAGAATTTCTGAGGACGAGCTCACATCTGGAAGGTATATCTTTATATTTAGTAATTACCAGAAAATGAGACTGGCTGGACCCCACATCCAGGTGAGGCTGTGTTTACTGAGTGGGGCTTAACCTCATGCACACAGAGGTCAGCAGTGAAGCAGAGCAAAGGGGATTGATTGCAAGGGTCAGCGAAATAAACACAGCCATGCCTGTGACTCCAGGTCAGCATGTGACCGTCAGAGGCATCAGCATGACAGTCCAGAATCCATGTTCTGGACATGCATCAGAACCTGCATGTCTAAATAAGACCGCTAGGTGGTTTGTGTGTGCCTGAATATTTGAGAAGCCCAGCTCCTCTGGTCCCTGTTCCAGAAACCCTGAGTGACAGGCGAGCTTCCTTAGAATAATTAACAAGTATTTTCAAAAGTCTCTTTAGGTCTCCTTTGGTTAAAAAATAGTAAGAAGAAATGTACTCTCATAGGAAATTTGCTAAGCTTAATTGAAGATGACTGGAAAAGGATTTTGAATCTATTACTTCTTTGAGGCTTTGAAGGTCTATTATTTTTTAAATAATAATAATATTTTTTAAGAATCCCTCATGAAATTTGCTAAGCTTTAATTTAAGATGACTGAAAAAGGGTTTTGACTGTGTTATTTCCTTGGGCCTTTGAAAATCTATTATTAGTTTTTAAGTATGGATTAAAAAGAGCTTCCAGTTACTCCTCAATTCTAAACTGCTTGTATGTCTTTAACTAGATCTTTCTTCCTGTAACATACAAGCAAGAAAAATACCAGTGAAGCAAAATATTGTCAGTGATGTGTCTATTCATTGACATAGCTTGTTTTTCCCATTTTGATTTCCATTCCCGTAATTTTCCTGTAGTCTTCCCAGTTATGTGAAGTGGAAAGCCAATTGGCTAACCAACACCATTTGAAACAGACACCAAATGTCACAATTGCTGACTGGGGAGAGGAACCAACCTGCTGAAAGATGTGGTGAATGAGAGCCCTCCGTCCTGGGCAGGTGTTTACATGGATGTACCAAGAGGAAAGCTGGATACAAATTGAAATAATAGACAAAAAAATGATAGAGGAATAGGTGGCTATGACCTTGAGAAGATAACCTGTCTCCATGGCATGGCTTCACCTCTCAGTGTGTGATGAACGCTTTTACAGTGGTGACTGGTTTGTATTAACATGAGAGCGTGTAACTTTACCAACTTCATAAATGCTCATGAAATCCATTTATGGGTTTTAAAAATCATAAGATGTTCCTGAATTATTTTCTTCTTTTTGTTTCTCTGCTCTACTCTGGGGCTTACATTTTAGCTGACTCGCCCATAACATCTTACAAATTGTGTCTCTCCAGGAAATCTTTAAAATGATGTAAAGACTGGTTTGCTTTAGTATGAAGGACCCCTAGTTGATAAACCATATATTTCCTCTAATAGAGACCCCTTCAAGTATAAAATTTACTTAAAGAACAAAAAAGCTTCCACTTGATGGATTTTTGTCTCATAATCAGTGAATAGTTTCATCACATACTGTCCACAGCTGCGCCTACTGTCCCTGAAAAAGATTTCACACATAGGTCTAGCCTTTCTCAGTCTGGTATGTATTCTTGAGAAAGCATGTGTAAGTATTATTTTTGCTAAGTGGAATTATTTTTATTTATTTGTTTATTTTTTTGAGACAGAGTCTCACTCTGTTGCTAGGCTGGAGTGCAGTGGCATGATCCCGGCTTACTGCAACTTCCGCCTCCTGGGTTTAAGTGATTCTCCTGCTTCAGCCTCCCTAGTAGCTGGGACTACAGGTGCATGCGACAACATCCAGCCAATTTTTGTACTTTTAATAGAGATGTGGTTTTACCATGTTGGTCAGGCTGGTCTCGATCCCTTTACCTCATGATGTGCCCACCTTGGCCTCCCAAAGTGCTGGGATTACAGGCGCGAGCCACTGTGCCCGGCTGGAATCATTTTTAATATAGTTTGGCTAGTGGTCAGGGCTCTGTTTAATGAATTTTATTTTATTTATTTATTTATTTATTTATTTTGAGACAAAGTCATGCTCTGTTGCCCAGGCTGGAGTGCGGTGGCACTATCTTGGCTCACTGCAACCTCTGCCTCCTGGGTTCAAGTAATTCTCCTGCCTCAGCCTCCTGAGTAGCTGGGTTTACAGGTGCATGCCACCACACTAGGCTAAGTTTTTGTATTTTTAGTAGAGGTTTCACCATGTTGGCCAGGCTGGTGTCAAACTACTGAGCTCAGGTAATCCACCCGCCTTGGCCTCCAAAAGTGCTGGGATTACAGGTGTGATCCACTGCTCCCAGCCCATATGCAATATTTTAATCTATCTCAGTAATTTTATCGAAAGTAATTTGTACACCAAACACATCTCTGGCATTTTCAGTGAAGAGAGATTAGGTTCAGGAATTTTATGCAGGAAGATATTTCTTCATGAAACCAAATCTTCTCCTGTGAATAAGACACCAGTTCAGATGAATCACTGCACTTGAAGGCAGCTTAGAAACTGTGCTTTAGGCCGGGCGTGGTGGCTCACACCTGTAATTCCAGCACTTTGGGAAGCCGAGGTGGGCAGATCACGAGGTCAGGAGATTGAGACCTCCCTGGCCAACGTGGTGAAACCCCATCTCTACTAAAATACAAAAAATTAGCTGGGCATGGTGGCACACGCCTGTAGTCTCAGTTACTCAGGAGGCTGAGGCAGGACAATCACTGGAACCCAGGAGGCAGAGGTTGCAGTGAGCTGAGATCACGTCACTGCACTCCAGACTGGCGACAGAGTGAGACTCCTCAAAAAACAAAACAAAAAAAACCACACTATGCTTTAGCTGTTCATCTTTGTTTGAATCACCCTGCATGACTTTCTGAATGTGGAGGAGGAATTTAGGAGAACTGACTCATTATGTCTTTTATTTTACTTTGTAATAAAATATTTTCTGTCTTGCTGTAAGGTTCTCTGAGGAAGCATATTGAATTAGGGATCCCATTTTTCTTGTGTAGTTCATCTATCGGTGGATAAATTTATCTATTTATAGATAAGCATGTGATAGGACATTCTCTAGACTGGGTGTGGTGGCTCCTACCTGTAATACTGGCAGTTTGGGAGGCCAAGGTGGGAGGCTCATTTGAGGTCAGGAGTTTGAGATCAAGCCTGGGCAACATAGTGAGACCCCATCTCTACAAAAAATAAAAAAGCCAGGCGTGGTGATACATACCTGTTGTCCCAGCTATTCTAGAGGCTGAGGTGGGAGGCTCGCTTGGGCCAGGAAAGTTGAAGCTGCAGTGAGCTGTGATTGTGCCTGTACTCTGGCCTGGGTAGCAGAGTTAGACTTATCTCAAAAATGAAAACAGGGCTGGGCACAGTGGCTCACACCTGTAATCCCAGCACCTTGGGAGGCGGAGGTGGGCACATTATCTGAGGTCAGGAGTTGGAGCTGAGCCTGGCCAATATGGTGAAACCCTGTCTCTACAAAAAATACAAAAATTAGCCAGGCGTGGTGGCGGGCACCTGTAACCCCAGCTACTCAGGAGGCTGAGGTAGCAGAATCACTTGAAGTTGGAGGCGGAGGTTGCAGTGAGCTGAGATCGCACCATTGTACTCCGTCTCAAACAAACCAACCAAAAAAACCCCTTACCTTTAAAACATTCTTCATTTCCTTTTTATTGGCCTCTCCTTTTAGAATTCACGCTTATGGATCCTTGCAAAAAGAATTACAAAGGGAAGTTTTCTTTGTTATCACTTAGGAAAAGGAAACCTTTGTATTATCATTGAGATGATGATTACAAAATTCATCCAGTTACTGAGCAACTCATAAAATCTTTCATCCTATTTCATGCTAGAAACAGGAAGATTGGAATCTGCCTGGAACAAAGAACTGCACCTAAGCAGACCAGAAGCAAAATGTCTTCTTCACGGCCTGAGGACATTTCCAGTTTTCTCTGTACCTGTGTGTATAGAAATAGATCAGAGCACAGTTGAAATTCATGGAACTGGCATTATTTAAGCAACCAGAATTCCACACTGTAGGAAGGTTTTGAAAATTGTTTCGTTATAGATTTTATCTTATCTTTTGGTGTTGTCTTGGTTTTTCTCATAGACTTTATAAGTTTGAACTGGACTTATTTGATTATAACCACAAATTGTGTGTGTGTGTGTGTGTGTATATATAGAAGTCATTATGGCAGATGCACAAATTGTGCAGTGATGTAAATATACATACTTCACAGAGCCTATTATTTTTATTTTTCAATTCAGTTTCTCAAATTATCTTCCCTTCTCTTGGGGACAACATCTGAAGGGTATGTTGCATGCATTTTTAAAAAAATCATCTCATATGCATTGTATAGTTTGGGGGAATAAGATATCCGGGGGCCGGGGGTGTCTACATTCAGTATCTTTAGTTCTTCCTACCTAGTAACTTGAGACTTTAAAAGAAGAAACATGGAGAAGATGTGGGAGCGAATTTATTGCAGGAATCCACAATGACTTTGAAGTTGTTGGAGCAATGCATTGTATTCAGAAAACCTGTGTCACATTAAAAAATTTCATCTAGGCTAGGTGCAGTGGCTTGTTCCTGTAGTCCCAGCACTCTGGGAACCTGGGTTGGGAGGATTGCTTAAGGCCAGGAGTTTGAGACCAGCTTGGGCAACATAGTGAAACCCTGTCTGTATGGAATTTACACAAATTATAAAAATTAGTCGGGTGTCATTGTGCATACCTGTAGTCCCAGCTATTCAGGAGCTGTGGTAGGAGGATGGCTTGAGCTCAAGAGGTTGAGGCTGCAGTGAGCCCTGATTGTGCCAGTGCACTCCAGCCTGGACGACAGAGCAAGACCCTGTATTAAAAAAAAAATTCATCCTGCACAGGGAAATGGCTACCTATTAAAGTCCCAGTTGAAATTTTTTGAAAAAATACACCTCCCACAGTTCACAAATAACTTTTAAGATCAGCTCATCTATAAGGCTGACCTTCATGCAGAGATTTTATTTCACCTTTAGTTTTGGGAAAAGCGAGAAACAGATGATCTATAGGATGTGAGTGGGTGGCAGAGTCAAAAGGAACCTCACCTGTTCCTAATTTCTCCTTTTAAATATTCATGTTGAGTGTGCCTAATACTCTCCTCGACAAGTCATGCTGTTTTATGCAGAATAATCCAGGCGTGAGAGTGTTCTCTTGGGAAATGACTGGGGAGACACCTGAAAGGAGCAACCTCCAGATGTTCTTCCCTGGGTGTTGATGTCATGACAGCCATACAGTGAGTTTGTTCTGAAACATCTCTTGCTAAATGTGGGTCATGCTAGACACAGCATAAACTGAGGGTGTGGGTTCTGGCTTTGTACATAACTCATTTTCTCCCTTGCTTTTTCTCTGGACCATCCTGGCTGGAAACTTGGCTGTAGACATCTGAAGAGGGTGCACCTTTTCTCTTTACTGTGACTCACCTCAAATATGGCATTGCTCAAATCTGCTGTGTATGAGGTCACAGGGCCCAGCTGTGGCAGGGGTGAGTGCATTGAAGAAGTAGGTTTTGGAGCCTTCCAGGAATTCCTTGTTGACAACAGGGGTACACTCACACAGACCTCCAAGACTTTCTTCTCCACCTCTTCTTTTTCTCATGCCCTGCCTTCATCTGTCTCCTTCTGCACCCAGAGTAGGGGTGGAGTATACCCTTGCCATGTGTTAGTGAAAATGTGTGCAGTGAGAAGCCAGTTGGGTCCCCTCGGCTCCTAATCTCTTCTCAAAACTCAGTAGCTCAGGTTCTCTGGAGCCATCCGGTGCATTCCTTGCTATTGGAGCTGTTTTTCCAAGCAATATCTGGGAAGAGATTTCTCCCTCTAGCACTTGCTACCTCTCTTCTGCACACATATCACACATCAGTACTGTGGAGAGTTTCTGTTAGGAAAAGCCATACATTTTTAAAAATGTAGCAAAATGTCAAGGGAAATGTAATCAGATTTGGCCAGAGTTCGCCTACAGATAAGAAGGCACTGGGCCAGGCTCACACCTGTAATCCTAAGTAACACTTTGGGAGGCTGGGGCGAGAGGATTGCTTGAGCCCAGGAGTTCAATACCTGTCTGGGAAACACCTCATCTCTACAAAATACAAAAAAGTTAACTGGGCATGGTGGAGCATGCCTGTAGTCTCAGCTACTCAGGAGGCTGAGATGAGAGGATCACTTGAGCCTGAGGAGGTCCAGGCCACAGTGATCTGAGATCACACCATTGCCCTCCAGCCTGGGTGACAGAGTGAGACCCTGTTCCAAAAAAAAAAAAAAACCCAAAAAACCTCAATGGCTTTTTGCTTTTGAAGGTGGTATGAAGAGAACGTCCACTTTAAGGCTTTAAAAGACAGTGAAGCTGGTTGTAGGGCTCACTTTTATAATCCTAGGATTTGGGGAAGCTGAAGCAGAAAGATTGCTTGAGCCTGGGAGTTTGAGACTGGCCTGGGCAGCATAGCGAGACCCCATCTCTATATAAAAAAAAAGATGTTAAAACAGTGAAATTACAGAAACAGAACATAGCCACCCTGTTTCATCAGTGACCTTTTCTTCACGTGACGGTCAACTCAGTAGGTGAGAATAATTAGTAGGTTCAGCAGAATAAACTCTTTACAATTAATAACTCAGTGGAAAATGATGTTCAGATGGTGAAATGTGGAAATGTTTTAGACAACTCTATTTTCAGCCTGTGCTTCTCACTCACCATCCTGTTGGGATTAACAGTTGAGGGCCATCGCTGCCTAAACATTTAGCGTGCGGTTTCCCATCAGTTTTACTGTGAATGTGAAAAGGTGAAACTGTTGCTGACTTCGGCAGCAGGTATACTAAAATTGGAATGACACAGAGGAGATTAGCATGGCCCCCTGCGCGAGGAAGATCCGCAGATTCATGCAGCATTCCATATTTTTTTAAAAAAAGGTTACACTGTGCACCGACGTGGAGCTAGAAGGAAAAGCATGAAGTCTCATGTTTGCTGACTATAAAAATAAATCATAGTAATAATATTATTGAACATTCTACTTTAAAAATTATTAATAAAACCATAAATGAAACACTTGAGCACACTTTAAAAAGTACATAAACCCATGAGTCCATATGTGTAATTTTATGTTGTCTGTTTTATTATCCAGGATTTCATACTCAGATGAGCATTAGCATCAGGAAAGCCTGAAATGCCTTAATTGTGAACTGATACGCAGGAAAATGAAATATGTAAGCACATTGGTGACCTTGTTCTTTACAGACATCATGATCAGCCTCCAGCCATACAGAACAAATGAGAAATTAGAAGCAATTCCAAGAACGTGTGATGGTGTGAAACCCACTTTTGACCGTCACACACATTTCAGCATTTGAAGAGACACAGGCTACCTGGAAACTGCCCATGGCGGGGTCATAATTTAAATGTCCCAATGTCATATAGAGGTTAATTTAATCAAAATGAGCTAAAACATGGAACAATCACTGAATAATTTAAAAAGAGTTTACCTGGCAGAGTGTGTCATGCCTGCAATCCCAGCACTTTGGGAGGCCAAGGCAGGCAGATCACCTGAGGTCAGGAGTTTGAGACCAGCCTGGCCAACATGATGAAACCCTTGTCTCTATTAAAAACACAAAAATTAGCCAGATGTGGTGGCACATGCCTGTAATCCCAGTTAGTCGGGAGGCTGAGGCAGGAGAATATGGAACTCAGGAGGCGGAGGCTGCAGTCAACCAAGATTGCGCCACTGCACTCCAGCCAGGGCGAAGGAGTGAGACTCCCATCTCAAAAAATAAAAAAAAAAATAAATAAAAATAGTTGACCCGGGTGGGCATTCCAAAATGTTCCCATAGATGATCGTGAAACAATCACTGTGCAAAATGTAGAGGAAAATTCTTACGATAATCACAAAATTTGTATCAGAAAAACATTACAAATTTACTTTGCTCCATGTAATTTTATGAATTGGCAGTATTTTCTTAAATTGGGATACAGTAAGAGAATATCTTTAGGAAATGGAAATGTTAAAACAAGAAGTAACAAGAGGTTGTTTTTCTGAAGGGAAATGCCACCGGCCTGCTTTCATAGGCATTGATAAAGCCAGGAAGGAAATAAAGTCACAACCGAATAGTATACACTGTATCTACTGAATTCTTCTAATTCCTTCACAACAGAAGTCTAAATCCTGCTTAGCCTAAACATATCTATAGCCAGCGATGGGCAAATTATATTTGCTGTCAGCATGATGGAATAAGAAACAGAAACCCCCCAGCAGTGGGGTAAGATTGCACGCTTCATCCCCTCAAAATGCAGTTCAGCCCCACTCCCTCTCCATGCCCATCAAACAACTGCAAAATCACTTGTTACTGAATTTCTCATTCAGCGTTTTGTTTCTTTCTGTCCATACTTAAAGACCAAATTATTTGTTTGCTTTGAAGAAAAAGCAAAAGCAACAAAAACACCAAATCATTTGAAATCACTACCCATTAAAAAAAATCACCAGTGGAACTAAACAGTTGAGTGGTTTGGGATGTGTTGTTCGCCATTTCTGTGTTTGACCTACATGGTCTCTAGTTCTTTGGACAATTGTAACTGTGAAACTATGGCTTAACACTGTTAAAGACTCCAAGGCTCCACTCTGTAGCCAGGTGCAACTCAGGCTGCACAAATACCCCACCAGAATGTCACAATCATTCATTGCTCCAGCTGCTGAGTGAACAGAGTGCAAGACAGCACTGGCTTGGGTTTTATTTTTGCAGCCAGTTAACTTTGCATCAGGTCTACACAGTCCTTGCAGCCTTTGATTTCTCCAGTTGTACAGATTTGAAATGGGGTGCCCGGGTTCCTCTCGTTTTTCCTTCAATCTACCTAGCATGCATTTTACACACATTGGAGGAGTCGTATGCACTGTTTTTCTCTTGCTGATGGAGGCAAGAACGCCTTCTAATTAGTATAACTTAAATGGACGGGATTCACTTAAAAGCAAGAAGAAAAGCACATGAACAGGTGTCTTAATGCATTTGGATACTTTGGGGTGTGTGCCTGTCTGTGTGTGTGTCTTGGTGAAGGTGGGCTGTATTTTCACCAAGCCTTTTCATAATCAAGTTTGCTTTGCAAACCATCTGGCCTTGCCCCCAGCAGTACAGTCCTTCCTAATAACGGGGATGCTCTGTCATGTTTCTCTGTAAATTGTTGTGTGTTGGGAAGTTCTGTTGAGGCTTAGTTTGATCTTCCATGGTGGACATGTCTGTTCTGTATATAAAAAGCATTACATCTGTGTTTTAGCAGGTGGGATTTGAAGCTTTTCCACAGTCCTTGTGCTCTGAGATGGCTGTTGAGCTCTGCTCAGCTGTCACAGCTGAATTCTTTTTTTGTGCTGAACACTGGGCAGCCTCACCTTGTTGCCAACGTGCTTCTGGGGCCCCTGTGACTGCTGCCGGATGCTGTGCACACAGGCAGAGTGCCTTGGCAGGTTTGTGCACCCCTTGGCGAGCCAGAACTGGGAACCCCGCGGAGTGACCCCACCTTCTCATGGGGGGTCAGGGAGGGGAGTGCCTATTTTTAATCTTGTTTGTTGCGCAATGGAAATCACTGTGATTTGTACATATGCCCTAGGAAAATTTTACCGCTGTCTAATTTATGTAATAATACTGATGATTCTAGGTTTGTTTAATAAAACTTTATATCTTTTCAGAAGTCTGAGTTTTGTCGCTTCTGTTTCCAAACAAGCTGTGACTTTTCTCCTTTGGTCTAATCCAGGGATGGGCAATTATCTGTAGGGACCACATGGCAGATATTCCGCATTGCAGGATACACAGTCTCTGCTGCACAGGGTGCAAAAAAGCTGCTATAATTAGGCACGGAGGTGCATGCCTATAAGTGCAGTGCTTTCGGGGGCCAAGGCAGGAGGATTGCTTAAGCCCAGGCGTTTGAGACCAGCCTGGACAATGTAGTCCCATTGAGTGACTTGGGACCCACCTTCAGCGATGACTCCTTCAGGGTTCACAGAACATTTTAACCATTTGCCTATATCTTGATCCTATACCTTTATTTTCTTACTCTTCACCTGATTTGGCTATTCCCTAACATTTTCTGTCCCTTTATCTTCACCGAAGTTTAGCTTAGCTTTCTGCCTTTAAATGTGTTCTTTAAGTAATGACAGATCATCCTTATTCTAGGCTGCAAAGATTGTAGTAAATATACTCTTTCTAGACAGGCAGAATAAATTTTGATGGCTCATTTTTAAAAAATTTATATCTTTTTGAGGGGTTTGGTTAGCTTTTCAAATTTGAATTAGTCAATATTTTAAATGGCTTAATTATTTTTAAAATTTTTTAATATTGTAATATGTAAATATTGTCATGTTTCGTATTGTAAATGTTACAGCATTTGTGACAATGAAAATAAGTCTTAAAACATATCCCAGAAATAAAACCACTTCATCATGTATAGAGTTCTCTATCAGTATCTACTTTGGTAATTGTTATATGGGCTTCACAGTTCTATTACAATTTATAAAACTTGAGCTAGGCAACCTAGTGAGAGCCTGTCTCTACAAAAAAAATGAAAAAATTAGCTGGATGTTGTGGTGCATGCCTGTAGTCCTAACTACTCAGGAGGCTGAGGTAAGAAAATTGCTTGAGCCCAGGAGGGGTGTGTGTGTGTGTGTGTGTGTGTGTGTGTGTGTGTGTAGATAGGTAGATGACAGGTAGATAGATATAGATGAATAGATAGACGTTAGATAATAGGTTGACAGGGATAGATGATAGACAATAGGTTTATAGGGATGGATGATAGATGGTTAGATAGGTTGAACGATAGAATTTGTCATGCAAAAGCCAAGGGTTTCTCTAACTGAGCACTGCTGACATCTGAGGTTGGGTGATTCTTGGTCGTTGGTGCCATTCTATGCATTATAGGATGCTGATAGACATCTTTGGCCTCTACTCCCTAGATACCAGTATCCCCCTTGGCCCCCACTCCTGTGATGACAACTAAAAATGTCTCCAGACATTGCCAAAAGCCCCTGGGAGGTAAAATCTCCCCTGGTTGAAAACCACTACTTAGAAAAATAAGATTGGGGACCATTTGGGAGCCATCAACTGAGAGCAAAACAAAGAACCAGAACTTGAATGGTGATCTTCCTTTAAGCTTTCACAACAAGAAATAGAAAAGAGGTATAAAGATCTCTTGCAGTGGGCATTTGAAGGATATTTTTTTCTGATGTGTTGCCTTTCCTTTCTCTGAATTCATCTCAGGATTTTAGTCAATGTCGCCAAGTCAACATTTGATCTTTTGCCAAACAGGAAATATTTCTATGAACAGCGTAGTGAATTGTAAGTAAGAGCCTCGGGTGCCTGAAAGTGCCTTGAGTCATGAGTCAGAGACGTGGGTCAGGCTCTGCTTCTCACTGGGGCCATCGTGTTGGGCATGTTTCTTAAGCTGTTCTCCGTATTAATGGATCCATCTTCAAATAGGGGCAGTAATTATTGCTGTGGGCTCCCTTTCTGATCAGAAACCTCCAATAGCTCTCTGTTGCACTCAGAAGACAAAATAACATTATAACAACAGTGTAGGAGCATCTCCATTATCCGCTGTCAATAATGTCCCAGAGTCTCTCTCCAGGGCATCCACTGCCAATGCCTGGACTCTGCTGATTTAGAACACATCCCAAAAGCTCCTGCCATGGGGCCTTTGCTCTGGCCCTTTTCTTCTAGATACCAGCATAGCGTTCACCTTCACCATCTTCAACTCTTTGCTCAAATATCTTCTCAATTCCTCCAGCACTTTATTTAAAATTTTAACTTGTTTCCAACACTGTCTACCACTTTCCCAAAGTTATTTATTTTTTCTCTCCATCACTGAGCACTTTCTACTGGTTTGTACCCTTTTCTTACTTACTTTGTTTATTGTCTTCCTCATCCCACTAGAATGCAAACTCCAGGCAGGCAAGGAATTTGGTCTTTGGTTGGGTTTGTTGAAACCCTGGCACCTAGAACAGTATCTGATAACGTAGGTGTTGCATTCCTCATGTGAAACTGTATTAGTGATGATTCTCCTCCATCATGCTGTATTTTCATTTGCAGTCATGGTATGACATTATGAATAAGGTTCATTGTAATTTATCTAGTTGCCTAAGAAAAAGAGAATTAAATGGTTTGCCACTTTTATGTTACAAACAATACTACATAAAATAATCAGGGCTGGGCACCATGGCTCATGCCTGTAATCCCAGAACGTTGGGAGCCTGAGGCAGGTGGATCACCTGAGGTCAGGAGTTAGAGACCAGCCTGGCCAACATGGCAAAACCCTGTCTGTATACTAAAAATACAAAAATTAGCTGGGCATGGTGGCATGCGCCTGTAGTCCCAGCTACTCTGGAGGCTGAGGCAGGAGAATCACTTGAACCGGGAGGTGGAGGCTGCAGTGAGCTGAGATTGCGCCATTGCACTTCAGCCTGGGCAACAAGAGTGAGATTCCGTCTCAAAAAAAAAAAAAACAAAACAAAAACTAAACAATTGTTATAAACCATCTTTCCCTATTCCTTCAACTTCTGAACTTTGCAACTAATCACATAGTAAAGGGTTTCCATGTCATGTTAGGTTATTAATGCCAAATAAAACTTTCATTAATTTTATTTTTTATGAGTGCCCATTTTGTGTTTTATTTCATAGTCTGTGTGTAACGTGAATATTCGCTAGTAGTTGTGGACCTGCCATATTTAGGTAACATTTGGAAGTAAATTAGTAGATGTGTTGAAGTAGTTTATTGTCTCTTCTGCCAGTTATTTTGAATAATAGATTACAGTGCATTTTATTTCTATATTGAGAATTATTTTTGTTCCTAGGTTTACCCATCTGCTTTGTATTGGTTAAGTGATAGCTGCTCATGGAATATATTTTTTGCTAAAATTTACATTTAGGCTGCTGGAAATCTCCTTTTTTCCAGAACTCTTTAGTACCTCAGAGTTTTTCCTACAGGCATTCCAGACTTTGTCACACATTTACTTTTTGATATATCCCCACTATCACTGGCATTCTCTTGACAACTTAAAAACAAGCCAGTAGCTGGCCAGATGAAAAGAACTCCTTAAATATCAGGCTACCATTGTCCTTTCAAGACTGTAAGGGATTATTAAGTCTCCTGTGTGGTTCAAAAAACAAGACAAAAAAAGAGAACAACATTAAGAAGATGGAAAACTCTGTTATGCCAGACACAGTGGCTCACACCTGTAATCCCAGCACTTCGGCGGGCAAAGGCAGGAGGATCACTTCAGCCCAGGAATTCAAGACCAGCCTGGGCAACATAGCAAGACCCTGTCTCTACAAAAAATTAAAAAAATGAGTTGAGTGTGGTGATGGTGTGCACCTGTGGCTGCAGCTACTTGGGAGACTAAGGTGGGAGGTTTACTTGAGCCCCAGAGGTAGAGACTGCAGTGAGCTATGATTGCACCACTGCACTCCAGTGCAGGTGACAGAGCAAGACCCTGTCTCAAAAAATAAAATAAAATAAAATAAATAAAGAAGAGGAAGAGGCTGCTGTGCTGGTGAGCCATTTCCCCTGGGTAAAATAAAGCCCCAACTTGTAGCCTTTGACAGCTTCTGTGATGTAAATGCTTATTCTTCCCATAATTGATCTCACTGTCTCACTGTATCTGGGGATCCATAGTCGGCAAAAGCTGGTGATTCCAAGGAACCCCTGCATCTGTTTTAATATCTTAGGGTGAGGATAAGCCAGTATAGGCTGTATTCATTCCTTGCTGAGGGCCCTCATCCCTCTAGCTAAGATTAGGCCTAGATATTTGATCTGCTGTAGGCAAAGCTGGGCCTTTGACCTAGATGCCTTGTACCCTTGATTAGCTAGAAAATTCAAGAGCTCTACAGTAGCCTGCTGGCATAAGGCTTCTGAACTGGTAGCCAGAAGTAAATCATCCACATACTGAAGGATCAGAGTGCCTGGACTGGAGAAGTGGCCTAGACTGTGGGCCAGTGCCTGACCAAACAGATGAAGGCTATCCCTAAACCTTTGGGGCAAGACCATCCATGTAAGTTGGGACATGTGGTCTGTGGGATCCTCAAAGGCAAAGAGAAACTGAGAGAGTGCAGCGGAATACAGAAAAAGGCATCTTGGAGGTCCCGAACAGTGAACCATTCTGTTTCCTCTGGTATTTGAGAGATGAGGGTATAGGGGTTGGGTATAACTGGATATAGAGGAATTACTGCCTCATTGATGAGTCTAAGCTCTTGCACTAGTCTCCACTGACCATTTGGTTTTTGAACTCCTAGAATTGGGGTGTTGCAAGGACTGCTGCATTTCCTTACTAAGCCTTGAGCTTTTAAATGTTTAACAATATCCTGTAATCCTTTATGAGCTTCAGGCCTTAAGACATATTGCCATTGATAAGGAAAAGTGATGGGAACTTTTAGCCTGATTTGGACTGGGAGGGCATTTTTTGCCCTTCCAAATTGTCCTTCCAATCCCCAGACTTCAGGGTTGATTCCCTCCTCAAGTAGGGCACAGCAAATGGGTAACTTGTTCCCCATATTCATGTGGATAATAAGTCCAGTTTTGGCTAATATATCCCTCCCTAATAAGAGTGTGGGACTTTCAGGCATAACAAGAAAGGCGTGTGAAAAGAGCAAAATCTCCCAATTCCAACTGAGGAGGTGGGAGAAATCCCTGGTTACAGGCTGTCCCAGGATTCCTCAGATGGTAATGGACCTTGAGGACAGTCATCAAGGACAGGAGATTAACACTGAGAAGGCTGTGCCAGTGTCCAGGAGGAAGTCAATTTCCTGGACCTCAATGGTTATACATACACAGGGCTCAGTGAGGGTGGTGATATGTGTTGGCACTTGCCCTGGGCACCCTCAGTCCTGTTGTTGGATCATCTGGTTGGGGGCTTCTGGCCCAGAGAACCAATGCATTCTGGGGCAGTCTGCCTTCCAGTGATTGCCTTGGCATAGTGGACATGGATGAGGGGGCAGCTTGTTTCTCTTTGGACAGTCTTTTTTAAAGTGTCCTTGTAAGCCACACTGATAACAAGCCCTACCAGGTGATTGGCCTGCTCCATTTTCTGTCCTTTCTGAACCACCAAGTTTGTTTATTTGAGGGCCATGACTAAGGCTGTGGCCTTTCTTTCATCTCGCTTTTCCTCTTGGGCCTGTTTCTTTTGGTCCCTATTATACAATACCAAGGTTGCCTCCAGATTTTGTTCAGGGCACAGGGCTCACTTGTGGAGCTTTCTCCTGATATCTGTGATTGGGTAATAACCTTATGTTTTAGGATCAGTTGACCCTCTAGTGAGTCTGGTGACAGGGGAGTATATTTTCTTAGGCCTCCCATAGCCCCTTGAGGAAGACAGAAGGATTTTCTTTCTTTCCCTGAGTTATGGTGGACATGATTGAATAATTCATGGGATGTTTCCTAATTCTCCTTAGTGCTTCTAGAACACAAGTCAGCAAATGTTTATGACTCCAGTCCCCATGATCTGAGTCAAGGTCCCAGTGGGGATCCATACTGGGGATGGCTTGCTGACTGGTATGGAATTTGTCCCTTTCTTCAGCTGTCATTCTATCATTTACTTGATTAAGATACCAGGTATCTCCAAACTCTTAGGCTGCAGCTAAAGCCACATTCTTTTCATTGAAGGCGAGGGTTTGATCTAACAATAGCATGACATCTCTCCAAGTGAGATCAAAGGTTTGCCCTAGACTCTGTAGAACATCCATGCACCTATCAGGATCATCTGAAAACTTCCCCAGGTCTGCGTTGATCTGCTTTAAATCAGAGAGGGAGAAGGGGACATGTAGCCGGGTTGGGCCAAATTCCCCTCCCCCTACAGCTTGAAGGGGACATAACCGATAGCCCAGGTTTTTGTGGTCCTTTAGATATTTCTTTGCTTATTTCCTTCTGGGTGGGGGAGATTAGAGGAGGCTTATCATTAATAGAAAGAGGAGTTATAGGGAGGCTAGGATATGGGGGTAAGCTGAGAGGTCCTCCTGTGGGATGTAAATTGCAAGCTTTGCATAGTTGTGTATTCTCCTTCAGTGAAAAGAAAGCTTGGACATAAGGTATTTCAGTCCATTTGCCTTTGCTCTTACAGAAAAGGTCAAGCTGCCAGATAGTATTGTGATTTGTACTTTCAGGTGGCCATTTTTCCCCATCAGAGAGAGAATATTGGGGCCAAGCCACGGTGCAGAAAAAAAAAAAAAAAAAATGAGCCACCTCTTTTTCAGGGTTTGCAGGTCAGTTTGGTCCCAATGGCTTAGGATGCATTTCAAAGGTTAGCCTGTTGATGCCTGAGTGTTTCCCATTTGAAAGACAAAACTGCCTGTGGTTTTGGTTTGTTTTGCCCACCCACACAAGAACCCACAGTGGTCCCTGGACCATGCTGATTGGAAAAGTTGCACTCACCGACATAGCAGCAGAAACATCTCTTGCCCAAGAACCCACAACAGTCTCTGGACCTTGCTGATCTGCATAGTTGCACTCAGCGATGCAGCAGAAGAAACACTAGTTTTCCTCCTAGACCACAAGGTGGACCGAGGAAGATCGGATTTAGTAGCCCTATCCAACGCATTCTCGAAAAACTGTTAGAGTCCTAAACATTCTTTTGTTAGTATTTGGACTTTACCCCTGTCCTATAAAGATGTTATGCCCCACAAATGAAGTGGAGGTCCATACCCTGAGGGAGGGAAGCATCTCCAGGGTTGGAAGAGTGACACTTTTTGTCCTCACTTGAATAGGAAGGATATCATTTCTGAAGCTCACCATTATCATAGCTTCAGGAATAGCTTTTGTTAGGCCTGCTAGTTTGAGGAGGATCCTAAAATTCCAGATAGTCCCCTCTATAACAGGGCTTTGGGCAAATATTATGTCTTTCTGATTGGTGAGCCCAGGTGCTTTAAAAAGGTAACAGAGTTCTGGAATTTATACTAGAAATCATTCTTACAGGAGAAACTAGAAAAGCACCAGAGACCAGGAGAGGTTTTTAGAAGTGAGACTAGCCTCAGAGAAGAGAGGAGAGAGGAAGTTTGTCTGAAAGGCATTAGGACCCAGCAAGCAAGGATCAGGATAGATAGGATAGATGGGCAAGTCGCTTGGGCGACATGACTTTGAGAGTTCCACTCATGGCCACAGGGTCAACCAACTTGCGTCAGGACCCAGGAGCTGAATGGCTTTCCTCTCTGTCGACTCTTGGCTCAGCCCAGAAGTACAGGAAAAGCAGAAGCTGGTTCCAGGCAAACCAACTTTCCCAACTCTGAAGAGTTGGGGATTGTTAGAGAGCTCTTTCCCAGAAAGCCTGACACTCATGTCTTTAGTCCAGTGTCCACACTAGTTGCTTTTAACTGGCTGACAGCTGCCTGGTATTTAGCCCCTGATTCTAAGGAAAAATAGGACAGAATAGCAAGTGAAAGGGGTCCAATGGTGGTTACCACTTGGCGATAGTTGATAGTCCCATCTGGGTCACCAAAATGTATCTGGAATTGGTTCCTTCAGTTGTGTTTTTGGTCTTGCTGACTTCAAGAATGAAGCCGCGGACCCTCATGGTGAGTGTTACAGTTCTTAAAGATGATATGTCTGGAGTTTGTTCCTTCCAGTGTTCAAATATGTCCAGAGTTTCTTCCTTCCAGTGGGTTCATGGTCTCGCTTGACTTCAGGATTGGAGCTGCAGACCTTCGCAGTGAGTGTTACAGCTCTTAAAGCTAGTGCAGACCCAAAGAGTGAGCAGCAGCAAGATTTATTGTGAAGAGTGAAAGAACAAAGCTTCCACAGCATGGAATGGGACCCAAGCTGCTGGCTCAGGTGGCCAGCTTTTATTCCCTTATTTGGCTCTGCCCGCATCCTGCTGCTTGGTCCATTTTACAGAGAGCTGATTGGTCCATTTTACAGAGTGCTGATTCATCCATTTTACAGAGGGTGATTGGTTCATTTTACAGAGTGCAGATTGGAGCGTTTACAATCCTTTAACTAGACACCAAGCACTGATTGGTACATTTTTATGGAGTGCTGATTGGTGCATTTACAAACCTTTAGCCAAACACAGAGCACTGATTGGTGTGTTTTTACAGAGTGCTGATTGGTGCATTTACAAACCTTTAGCTAGACACAGAGCACTGATGAGTGCATTTTTACAGAGGGCTGATTGGTGCATTTACAATCCTTTAGCTAGACACAGAGTGCTGATTGGTGCGTTTTTACAGAGTGCTGATTCGTGCATTTACAATCCTCTAGCTAGACAGAAAAGTTCTCCAAGTCCCCACTCGACCCAGGAAGTCCAGCCGGCTTCACTTCTCATTAGGACTGACAAAGTGGACTCTTGAGAGCAGTAAGACACCACATTCCAGCCTGATTCTAGCACATCCTGACTCTGGCACATCACCCCATGACAGACAGCAAGCACTAAGGAAATCAAAGCATTTCACTCCAAATCATATTTCTTTAACATATTTTGAAATAGTCCTGCCAGGCTGTCTCATGTGGGAAAAATCTACATTCTGAAGAGAGTCCCATTCCTTTTCTAGGCCTGATTCTCAATCCAGGAGAGAATCAACTCTGACAAGAAACATTTACAATCTAGGCCATGCGTGGTGGCTCATGTCTGTAACCCTAGCATTTTTGGAGGCCGAGGCAGACGGATCACTTGAGGCCAAGAGTTCATGACCAGCCTGACCAACATCGTGAAACCTGTTTCTACTAAAAATACAAAAAATTAGCCAGGCATGGTGGCACATGCCTAATCCCAGCTGCTTGGGAGGCTGAGGCAGGAGAATCAGTTGAACCCAGGAGGCAGAGGTTGCAGTGAGCTGAGATCACACCATTGCAGTCCAGTCTGGGCAACAAGAATGAAACCCCATCTCAAAAAAAAAAAAAAAAAAAAAAAAAGACAAAGAAACATATACAATCTATTCTTCCCTAAGTCTGCTGCCTGGAGGCTTCATCTGTATCTGTGGAACCTGGGGCTCCACAACTCCTCATAATGAAGACAAAGTTCTGATTTTTTCTTATCTTGCCCAAATTCCTATCTGAGTGGTCTGAGGAGTGATGCCTACAAATCATAAATTCTCATCAGATTTATTTAACTCTATATGTCATGACTTACTTTCCAGTCTGACTCTGGCATAACATTACCTGATGAAGAAAATCAAATTATTTTACCCCAAAACATGTTTCTTTGCCATATTTTAAAATGTCCCTACAAAGCCATCCTTTGTGGGGGAAATTTTGCATCTGTAGAGAATCTCTATTTACATAGCTAGATCTTTTTCTTCCAGACCCTCCCAATTCTAAAGAGAGTAACGTAGATTCTAGCACGTTTTTGAAGATCTGAATAGGAAACATTCATTATCTATTGTCTCTAAGGACAGCCACTATAAGACTTCAAAAGAACCTTGGTCTTCACAATCTTTTATCTCAACCTGAACATTTCCTTTCCATCAATCCCAGGTCTTTAGACAAACTCAACCAATTGTCAATGAGAAAATGTTCACATTTACCAATAGCCTGAAAGCCCCTATCCTCTACTCCTCTCTTTGAATTTTCCTGCTTTTCTGGACCAAACCATTGCATTTCTCAAATGTATTTGATTGATGTCTCATGCCTTCCTAAAATATGTAAAGCCAAGCTGCACCCCATCCACTTTGGGGACATATTCTCAGGTCCTACTGAAAGCTGTGTCACAGGCCATGGTCGCTCATATTTGGCTCAGAATACATCTCTTCAAATATTTGACAGAGTTTGACTCTTTACATCAACAATAACCCACATACTCCCTTCTATTGATTCCAGGTCTTTAGATAATAACTCTTTCAACCAACTGCCAATAAGGAAATCTTTCAATCTATCTGTAATGTGGAAGCTGCCCACTCTTCTAGTTGTTCTGACTTTCCAAACCAGACCAATGTACATGTTATATGTTTTGATTAATGTCTAATGTCTCCCTACAATGTATAAAACCAAGCTGTGCCCCAACCACCATGGGAACATATTCTCAGGGTCCCCTGGGGCTGTGTCACAGGCTATTAATTACTTATATCTGGCTCAGAACAAATCTCTTCAAACATTTTACAGAGTTTGACATTTTTCATTAGCAACAGTAAACATATTCATACAATCTTCCATTGGTTATTTTCAACTTATATTATGCACCAGAAAACCCACGTGTTTGAGGGTATTTATGTGATGATGCTATCCCTGCAGGCAGGGCAAAGAACTGCAGATACAGAAGTGAGTGAGCATGGGATCCATCAACATGGGCCAAGGAGGAAGTGTTACAGGAAAGGGGTTGTGATCCAGACCCCAGGAGAGGGTTCTTGGATGTTGCACAGGAAAGATTTCAGGGTGAGTCTGCAGTGCAAAATAAAAGCAAGTTTATTAAGAAAGTAAAGTGGTGAAAGAACAGAGCTACTACATAGACAGAGTAGGATGTTCTTGACAGAGGAGGAAAGTGTCCACCTTAGGTAAAATGCTTGTGTTGGGACAACTAAGTTCCTCTTCAAAGACTCCCTGGTTATAAGTTGTAAAAGGTGTAAATAAACCCTACCCCCTTTTTCTTCCTCCTTCTCCTTTTCTCACAAATCACACATTTACCCTATCTGGACAAAGTTTAGGTCTAAGCCAATGTGGGATCAGCTTAGATTGTGTGGCCCAACCCCAGCCAACAGGGGAAGGACACAGAAGCAGGAACTGCCTTAGGGTTAAAAATCCCTTCATTCCTTTGTTTGATGTGCTCTTGCAATTGCATCAGGCACAGGCAGCACCTTTCTGCAGAAATAAAGTTGCCTTGCTGAGAAAGTTTCTGTCTAAGTTCTGGTTTTTCTTTGTGGCACTGAGGACTTGTTTCTAACAACTTAGGGGCTCATCTGGGATCCCATTCTCTTTCAGGAAGGACTAGTGATTATATTTCATGGGAAGATGCATCCCACTGCCTTGTTTTTATGGCCCCGGCGCGATTTTCCTGTCAGTTGATTATACTGAACTGCCAAGGCTAAGAGGGACCTAAAATTCCCACAAGGAAAGCAGCCAATAAGGTTGAAGCAAATGCTCAGCAGAGAGTAAGAAAACTCCATTGGGAAAAAGGGGCGTTTAGCCTCCAGGATACGAAAGTGCAAGAAATCTTTAATACAAGAGATTGAACCCTACCAAAATGGGAGGTTTAGCCTCCAGGAATGGGAGTGCAATAAATCTCTAATACAAGAGATTGAGCCTCACCAACCTCCAGGATGGGAAATGACAGGTAAGACAGGGACTACAAAAGACCAAGCAGACAATAAAATTCCCCCTGACAGTCCGCTAGGCCTTATGTTAAGATACCGGAAAGATAATGAAAGGACCAAACACAAGAAAAGACAGCAAATGATAAAATATTGCTGTTTTATTTGGACTAAGGAACCCATCCTGAAACCTTTGGTCTTTTGGCCACAGTTAGGGTTGAGCGGGGACTGGATATGCCAACTCCTAATCCAGTATGTAAATGATAAAAGTCCAGTTTCTCAAGAGGAGATAGATTATGGAGACAGGGACTTGTCCTTCTCTACCCCCTAAAGAATGAAAAAGCAAAGCTGAACTCAAAGCCCCCAAAAGTCAACCTAGCTAAGTTGTATTCTACATCTAAAGATGCATGGGATCCTTTAGACCACCTTTCCCCACCTAACCCTCTGCCTCAAGCTGAACACTCAGTCCCTTCTCCATATAATCCTGCCCCAAGGACCTTAACACTACACACCCCTTCTGGATTGCCACTCAAACATCCCCCTCCTTAGAAAAGCTCCAACAGGAAATGGAACAATCCCAAAGGGATCTTCAACACTTTTCTTTCCCCTCTTCCTCAAAGAAGTCTGTTCCAACCCTTTTTCTCTTAAACGAAGTACCACTAGGAGGGGGTGATATTGGCTTCATAAATACCCCCTTAACAAGCTCAGAGATTAGGAATCTAAAAAGGAACTCAGATCACTGGTAGATGATCTTTTGGAGTTGAAAGTCAAATTGACCAATTTCTAGGGCCACAATTGTACACTTGAGCTGAATTAATGTCTATCCTAGATATTCTCAGGAAAGGAAAGAACCATGTTCCACAAGGCCACTATGACAATCTGGGAGCATGAACACCCTCCTGGTCAAAATATCCTTGCAGGAGAGCATAAATTCCTGGCCCAGGACCCTCAGCGGGATAACAACATGCAGCCCACCGAGAGAACTTGAGCGATCTCAGAGATATGAGAATTAAAAGGATTAGGGAATCAGTTCCTCAAACTCAAAATATCTCCCAAGCATTTAATGTACAACAAGGGAAAGATGAAGGGCCTTTGGAATTCTTAAACAGACTTAAGAAACAGATGAGAAAATATGCATGTTTAGACACAGAGGACCCACTGGGACAAGTGATGCTAAAGCTCCACTTTGTCATCAATAGTTGGCTGGACATCACAAAGAAATTACAAATGATAGAAAACCAAAAAGACCATCCCATAGAGGAATTTTTAAGAGAGGCCCAACAGGTATACGTACAGAGGGATGAGGAAAGGCAGAAGCAAAAGGCAGAAATTATGCTGTCCACCCTACAAAAGGGAACTCTTCAACAGGGAGACCAGGGAAGTATAACTTGTAAACCTAAGTACCCGGCTAGCACACCCTACCCAGGAGGCAAAAGGATAAAATCTGAAAATCAGGAAATAGGGAAGGGAAAACAAATGTTTCAGGTGTGGAAAGCCAGGTCATTTAAAAAAGGAATATCCTGAATGGGAGAGAGAAAAGAAAGTCCTTCCATTCATGACATTTGAAGAATAGTAGGGGGTCAGGCACTCTACAGCTTTCATCTCAAGTCCCACCAAGAGCCCTTGATAAATTTAACATGGGACCCAAATCAAAGATAGTCACTTTCTTAGTCAATTCAGGAGCAGCTCGCTGCTCCCTATGTTTTCTCCCATCAGGTTTAGCATGCTCAGCAGTGGACCTTTCTGTCTCAGGAGTTAAAGGGGAAGGATTCAGGGCAAAAGTTCTAGAGTAAACTGAAGTCAAATATAATAATAAGTCACCCACTATTAAGTTCTTGCTGATTCCTGAAGCAGCAACTAACTTATTAGGAAGGGACTTGATGTTAGGGTTAGAAATAGGCCCATATGTTAATCAGGGAAAACTTACTTCCTTAAACCTGCTCACCACTTCTGAAGAAAGCCTAATCCATCCTGATGTATGGTCAAAGGAAGGAAATCAAGGAAAACTATAGTTTCCCCCAAACCATGTCAAATTAATAACTCCCAGGGAAGTAGTAAAAAGAAAACAATACTTTATTCCCTTGGAAGCCAGGATAGGTTTTAAACCTATTTGAAACCTAATTGAAAGCCTAATTGAAAGCCTTGTCCATGACGGACTCCTTGAATGCTGTATGTCTCCTTATAACACTCCAATATTGCCGTAAGGAAGCCAGTTGGGTCATACCGGCTAGTGCAAGACCTCCGGGCTATTAATCAAATAGTTCAAACCACCCAACCTGTTGTTCACAATCCTGACACCATTGTCAGTAGAATCCCACACGGCCATCAATGGTTCATGATGATAGATTTAGAGGATGCATTTTGAGCTTACTCTTTGGCAGAGGACAGCCGGGACATGTTTGCGTTTGAGTGGGAGGACCTTCACTCCAGTCGAAAACAACAGTACCGACGAAGAGTCTTGCCTCAGGGGTTTACAGAGTCCCTAGATGTGTCCATTCCATAGCAGCAATTGCCTTGCTAACAGAAGAAAGCAGGAAAATAACCTTTGGGGGAAATCTCATCATAAGTACCCCTCACCAAGTGAGAACCATTCTTTTATTATTATTATTATTATACTTTAAGTTTTAGGGTACATGTGCACAATGTGCAGGTTAGTTACATATGTATACATGTGCCATGCTGGTGTGCTGCACCCACTAACTCATCATCTAGCATTAGGTATATCTCCCAATGCTATCCCTCCCCCCTCCCCCCACCCCACAACAGGTCCCAGAGTGTGATGTTCCCCTTCCTGTGTCCATGTGTTCTCATTGTTCAATTCCCACCTATGAGTGAGAATATGCGGTGTTTGGTTTTTTGTCCTTGCGATAGTTTACTGAGAATGATGATTTCCAATTTCATCCATGTCCCTACAAAGGATATGAACTCCTCCTTTTTTATGGCTGCATAGTATTCCATGGTGTATATGTGCCACATTTTCTTAATGCAGTCTATCATTTTCGGACATTTGGGTTGGTTCCAACTCTTTGCTATTGTGAATAATGCCACAATAAACATACGTGTGCATGTGTCTTTATAGCAGCATGATTTATAGTCCTTTGGGTATATACCCAGTAATGGGATGGCAGGGTCAAATGGTATTTCTAGTTCTAGACCCTGAGGAATCACCACACTGACTTCCACAATGGTTGAACTAGTTTACAGTCCCACCAACAGTGTCAAAGTGTTCCTATTTCTCCACATCCTCTCCAGCACCTGTTGTTTCCTGTGTTTCCTGACTTTTTAATGATCGCCATGCTAACTGGCGTGAGATGGTATCTCATTGTGGTTTTGATTTGCATTTCTCTTATGGCCAGTGATGGTGAGCATTTTTTCATGTGTTTTTCAAACCTGAGAAAAACAAGCAATGGGGAAAGGATTCCCTATTTAATAAATGGTGCTGGGAAAACTGGCTAGCCATATGTAGAAAGCTGAAACTGCATCCCTTCCTTATACAAAAATCAATCCAAGATGGATTAAAGACTTAAACGTTAGACCTAAAACCATAAACACCCTAGAAGAAAACCTAGGCTTTGCCATTCAGGATATAGGCATGGGCAAGGACTTCATGTCTAAAACACCAAAAGCAATGGCAACAAAAGCCAAAATTGACAAATGGGATCTAATTAAACTAAAGAGCTTCTGCACAGCAAAAGAAACTACCATCAGAGTGAACAGGCAACCTACAAAATGGGAGAAAATTTTCACAACCTGCTCATCTGAGAAACGGCTAATATCCAGAATCTACAACGAACTCAAACAAATTTACAAGAAAAAAACAAACAACCCCATCAAAAAGTGGGCGAAGGACATGAGAACCATGCTTAATCAGAAGGCAGACAGGTGGCTCACTGACTCAAGAATTTTAAAATATGAAGCTATTGAGAGGGATGATGTAACACTAACCACTGATCATTCACTCAGTCCTGCTGCTTTCCTAACAGGAAACACAAACCCAGAAGAACCTGAACATAAATGCTTAGATCCAATCAGTTACCAAACCAGAGTCAGACTAGATTTAAGCAAGACTGCCTTCCAAACAGGGTGTCACTTCTTTATAGATGTCTCTTCCCAGGCATTGAAGCAAAAAGGCACAATGGGTATTGTGTAGTTGGTGGGAAACCCTCACAGAAGTAGAGTGAGGAATACTGCCAAATAACTGATCTGCCCAAACGTGAACTCTTTGCATTAAGCCAAGGCTTAAAATATCTGCAAATGAAGAGGGAACCATTTACACTGACTCTAAGTATGCCTTCAGAATAGTCCATACCTTTGGAAAAATCTGGACTGAATGAGCCGTCATCAATAGTACAGGCCAACATGTCATCCACAAGGAGTTAATTACACAGGTACTAGAAAATCTTCAGCTGCCAGAAGAAATTGCAGTTGTCCATGTCCCAGGACACCCAAAGAACTAATCTTTTAAAAGCCAGGGAAATAACTTTGCAGATCAAATAGCTAAGCAAGCTGCCTCTTCCCAGGAGTCACCCATTTTCCATCTAACCCCCATCTTCCCCTCCAGCTGCAATCTCCATCTTCTCCCACGCAGACCAAGAAAAACTAAAAAAATGAGGAGATGAGGAAAGCTCAGAGGGAAAGTGGGTATTACCAGATGGAAGAGAAATGTTGTCTAAACCCCTCATTTGGGAAATACTGTCACAGCTTCACCAAAGAACTCACTGGGGTCCTCAAGCTATGTGCAATGCGCCCCTCAGAACCTATTAGTGTATAGGGATATATACTGTAGCTAGGCAAGTGGCAGATGGTTTTATAGCGTGCAGAAAAACTAATAAGCAAGCTCTAAAAAGGCAGCCTTCCAGGGGAAGAAACCCAGGGTGAGGGTCACTCCAAAGCGTCCAATTTGACTACACTGAAATGTCCCCAATAGGCCATCTCAAATATTTACTAGTAATAACAGACCGCCTCACCCACTGGGTAGAAACCATCCCCTTCCCAAGCATAGAAGTCAGTAAGGTAGTAAAAGTACTGTTGGAACATATCATACCCAGGTTTGGACTAATAGAGAACATTGATTCAGATAATGAGACCCACTTCAGTGCACACATCGTTAAAGGACTAACCCAAGCATTAGGAATAAAATGGGAATATCATACCCCCAGCACCCACCCTCAGCAGGGAAGATACAAAGGATTAATAAAACTCTAAAAAACCACCTAACCAAATTAATCTTAGAAACCCAGTTACCATGGACAAAATGGCTTCCCATTGCCTTATCAAGAATCTGAACTGCTCCTCCAAAAGATCTTGGCCTGTCCCTTTATGAAATGCTCTATGGGCTGCCTTATCTAAATTCCACTACTGACCTTCCTACATTCAAAATAAAAGATCAGTTTCTTAAAAACTATATATTTGGTCTGTCTTCCACCCTTTCCTCCCTCAGGACTCAAGGCCTCCTCGCACAACCTCCAACACTTGAATTCCTAGTTCACCAACACCAGCCTGGGGATCACGTCCTTATCAGAAGTTGAAAAAAGGGAAAACTCCAGCCAACCTGGGAAGGACCTTACCTGTTGCTCATAACAACCAAAACAACAATTTGAGTGGCCGAAAAAGGATGGATTCATCACACATGGGTAAAAAGGGCCCCATCCTTGTGGAATCATGGACCATCACTCCAGGACCAACACCTTCCAAATTAACATTCAAAAGAGTTTAATCTGTCTCTTACTTCTCCCTCTAGTTGCCCAAGGACATTTCATTATCAATATAACCTGATCACCCTTTCCCCAAACAGTTTTCTTCATGCCTATCTTGTCATACCCTATGGAGATCTCCAAAGCCAAAGACAGCTAGCCCCTTCAGAAAAAATATATTTGCCCCAACCCTTGTAGTAAACAGTTCTCTGGGGCCAATTACTGTCCTGTACTTCTTGGGAAAATGTTCTCTGGACTACTGAGTATCAGGACTGGACCTCCACACAAGGTTTCTGCACCACTTTAAAGCCCTACGTCCTCTTTACCAAAGGAACTACCCCCTCTAATTGCCAACTCCGACAATGTAACCCAGTGCAAATCTCTATTAATGTCCCCACAATTCTAGTCATACTTTAAGATGCTTCTATGGCATGGGAAGCAATGTTGCTGGGTGGGATCCTATAGGCTACTTTGAAATGCAATTCATTCACCCTCCTCTACTTCTTACTGCCTCCTACTCCCCAAGCCCACCAAATCAAACCATTTCTCTCTCCATGCCCAGTGATAAAACCAAAGTGTTGTAGTAGAAGTCAAAAACTTAAACTCTAGCCATTGAAACCAGGTACCAAGATCCAAAGGCCTGGCTGGAATAGATTAAATATTCTGTTTACACCCTAAATAAAAGCAATTGTTACCCTTGTGCAATGGGCAGGCTAGAAACCCAAATTTTTCCTTTTCCACTCGGATAAGCTAACCAGCCAGCTATGGTCAATATGGTGGCTCTCTTTCAGCACCCCACAGCCTAGGGAAACAAGGCATGCCCTAACCTTTCACTACTGTTTCCACAAATCAAGAGTCCTGTGGGTCAGCCCACAAGGTCCATTCAGTTTCTAGGTCCCAATGCCAATTTTACCTCATGTCTGTCAGGAAAAGTTGAAAATTTGACATCCCTTGGAAATCTAATGGGGTGTAGTGATTCCAAGCCTTTCAAGAGCTCACTAATCAGTTGGCCCTTGTCCACCCCAGAGGAGATGTGTGGTGGTATTGTGGAGGACCTTTACTGGTACATTGCCAAGCAATTGGAGCAGCACTTGTGCTCTAATCCAATTGGCTATCCCTTTCACACTGGCATTTCATCCACAAGAGAATAGAGAACTAACCTGGAAAAAGAGAGAGACCTCTCACCGGTCATTTGACCCCCATATTTACATAGATGCCATCAGGGTCCCATGAGGGGTACTAAATGAATTTAAACCTCAAAATCAAATAGCCGCTGGGTTAAAATCTGTTTTGTTCTGGTGGCCAACTATGAATAAAAATGTAGACTGGAAAAACTATACACTATAATCAACAGCAATTCATCAATTATACCAGAGATGCCATCAAGGGAATCGCTGAACAGTTAGGCCCCACACATGAAATGGCCTGGGAAAATCAGATAGCCCTTGAAATGATGTTGGCAGAAAACAGTGGGGTCTGTGTCATAATTGGAGTCCAATGTTGTACTTTTATCCCAAATAATTTTACAGCCTCCAATGGAACAATCACAAAAGCCTTACAAGACCTTACCACCCTAGCAAATGAATTAGCCAAAAACTCTGGAATAGATGACCCCTTTAAGGGCCTCATGGAAAGGTGGTTTGGAAAATGGAAGGGATTCATGACCTCAATATTTACCTCCTTGGCAATTGTTACAGATGTACTTATCCTTGTGGGCTGCTGTATCATACCTTGTATTCACGGGTTAACCCAAAGACTCATAGAACCAGCTCTAACAAAAACTCCCCCTACTGCTTCCCCTTGCTACTCAGATATGCTCTTGTTCCTAGATGATCAAGAAGAGCAACAAAGCCAGATCTTGTTAAAGAAATTTGCAGAGAAAGAACTACAAAACAGAAAAGTGGGAAATTGTTGGGACAACTAAGTTCCTCTTCAAAGACTCAACTTCCTGGGAATAAGTTATACAAGTTGTAAATCAACCCTACTGTCTTCTCCCTTCTTCTCTTTTTCTCACAAATTGCACATTTACCCTATTTAGAAAAAATTTAGGTCTAAGCCAACCGGGATCAACTTTGATTGTGAGGTCCAACCCCAGCCAATAGGGGAAGGACACAGAAGCAGGGACTGCATTAGGGTTAAAAGCCCCTTCCTTTGTTCGATTTGCTCTTGCAATTGCATCAGGCACAGGCAGCACTGTTCTGCAGAAATAAAGTTGCCTTGCTGAGAAATTTTCTGTCTAATTGCTGGGGTTTTTCTTTGTAGCACTGAGCACTTGTTTCTAACACTTGTGTATACATAAGATAAAAATAGCTCTTGGGGAGATGTGCTCTGCTACATGGGTTTGTGATAAAGCATTAATTTTCCTAATTACTATATGTTGCAAGAGTTGATATTATTATATTTAAAGCAAAATTAGGAATGCCCTTGTTCTCCAGACAACAGGATGCCTCGACACTCCCAAGTCTGAGTCTGTTTCAGTAAACATCATAAGTTTGTTTTCTTAATCATAAATATCTAGAGTCTAGGAATGCCTAATTTTCTGGGACTGCAGCAAGACTCAACCTCATTTTTATAGTCCCCACTCAAAATGGAGTTGCTCTTGTTCAAATGCCTCTGACAGAAGGAGGCAGGAGATAAGAGGAGTATTGAAGGACAAAGAGATGGTGTCAGGCAACAGTCCCCAACCTTTTTGGCACCAGAAACTGTTTTTGTGGAAGACAGTTTTTTTATGGACCAGGTTGGGGGAGAGGGTTTCGGGGTGATTGAAGTGTATTGCATTTATTGTGCACTTTCTTTCTTTCTTTCTTTTCTTTTTTTTTTTTTTTTTTTTTTGCTTTTTGAGACAGATTTTCACTCTTGTTGCCCAGGCTGGAGTGCAGTGGTGTGATCTCAGTTCAATGCAACCCTCACCTCCTGGGTTCAAGAGATTCTCCTGCCTCAGTCTCCCAAGTAGCTGGGATTACAGGCATGCACCACCATGCCTGGCTAATTTTTTATATTTTCAGTGGAGGCAGGGTTTCTCCATGTTGGTCAGGCTGGTCTCGGACTCCCAATCTCAGGTGATCCACCCACCTCAGCCTCCCAGAGTGCTGAGATTACAGGCATAAGCCACTACATCTGGCTGTATTTCTATTATTATGTCATACTACCTATGAAATAATTATGTAACACAGCATCATGTAGAATCAGTGGGAGCCCTGAGCTTGTTTTCCTGCAACTAGACAGTCCTATCTGATGGTGATGGGAGACAGTAACAGATCACCAGGCATTAGATTCTTATAAGGAGAGTGCAACCTAGATCCCTTGCATGTGGAGTTCACAATAGGGTTTGAGTTCCTATGGGAATCTAATTCTGCCACGGATCTGACAGGAGGCAGAGCTCAGGCAGTAATGGGGAGCTCAGGCAAGCAATGGGGAGATGAAGCTTTGTTTGCTTACCCACAGTCACCTCCTATTATGCAGCCCAGTTTCTTTTCTTTTTTTTTTTTTTTTTTTTTTTTTGAGACGGAGTCTCGCTCTGTCGCCCAGGCCGGACTGCGGACTGCAGTGGCGCAATCTCGGCTCACTGCAAGCTCCGCTTCCCGGGTTCACGCCATTCTCCTGCCTCAGCCTCCCGAGTAGCTGGGACTACAGGCGCCCGCCACCGCGCCCGGCTAATTTTTTGTATTTTTAGTAGAGACGGGGTTTCACCTTGTTAGCCAGGATGGTCTCGATCTCCTGACCTCATGATCCACCCGCCTCGGCCTCCCAACTTGCTGGGATTACAGGCGTGAGCCACCGCGCCCGGCCCGCAGCCCAGTTTCTAACAGGCCAGGGACTGGTACCCATGTGTGGCCTAGGGCTTGGGGATCCCTGATGTGGGGCAGGAGAGAAAGAGTCGTGTGTTTATTAGAGATGTGGTTCATGCACTAGAGAGATGGAGGGGAGGAAGCAGTGAGTCCCACAGAGGAGAGGCTGTGGGTTGCAGGTGTAGTAGGGTTGACTCTGCCCTAACTTAGTGCACTCTGCAGTGGCTCCTTTTCTTTCTGTTCTCTTTCTGATCTTAGATGATGTCATTGTGGCTGAGCCTGTGCCTAAACTATATACTGCCAAAGTCTCTATTGCTGGAAGAAGATAATAATTGTATCTCTACCTTTAAAAAAAAAATTTAGTGTAAGAGAGAGAGCATGCCATAATGAATTGAATGAATTTGAAAAACTAAGCGGTTATATTACATTTCTATTTTAGGAGTTAAATCCATCCATGCATGTAAGGTGTCCAATGGTTTGATAGGGAAAGGTGGAACAAATCGAAGTAGGGGCTTCGAGGTCATAGGTAGTTATATAATGCCTATATTATTTATTTTTAAAAATTGTTTCCTTCCTCCATTTTTCCTTCTTCCTTCATCTCTCATTCCCTTCCTCCTTTCACCATTCTTTCCTTTCTTCAATTGTTCTTTTCTATCTTTTCTTTCCTTTTGTTTCTCTCAGTTCCTTTCTCTTTTTTTATTATTTTTCTTTCTTCCTGGTTTTTCTTTCTTTTTCTTTCCCTTCCTGTTTCTTTTTTCCTCTCTCTCTTCATTCCTTCCTTCCTTTGTCTTTCTTTTTTGTTTCTTTTTTCTTTCTTTCTCCTTCTCTCCCTTCTTCCTTCCCTCTCTTCCTTTCCTCCCTCCTTGCAATCTCTCCTACTCTGTCCCCCATTCTCCCTTTCTCACTTTCTTTCTTTTTGCACAATTCTACAATACAAAATAGTACAAAAGGCTGTTGTCTGTGTGAGAGTACATCTGCTGTTGTCTAGCCAAGAAACTCAACACTAACAGGGCCATCTGGGAATGAAAAGAAAGAAAACTGGGACAGCTCTTGTGTGCACTTTGGGGATGGAAGAGTGAAATGACTTCAGTAAAAATTGTTGAGTGTTTGATTGCAGGAAACAGAAGATGTCACATTGGAGAAAAGAGGGGATCTCTGGACATTCATGGGAACACCCGATTTTTATGGACATTATTTGAGGATTGAGGGGAACTTGTAGGAAGAAATAATGGAGAAACTAAAGTCTCTAGACTTCCTCTTCCTGGTTTGGAAGGGCAGGTGCTACAACTAACAAGCATCACCTAATAGAGCAGATGGGACAGGGCTGAGATGCAAAGAGGGCTTTGAAAAAAAAAGACAAGAGCCAAGCTTGGAAGAAAAAAGATAGAATTGATGGCAGCAATCAGTAATCAATAAGCTTCCCAGGAGGTCCTGCTTGCACATGACTCAGGCTTTGCTTGTTTACTTTTATTTTTTGAGAGAAGGTATTGCTCTGTTGCCCAGGCTGGAATGCAGTGGTGTGATCTCGGCCTCACTGAGACCTCCTCCTTCCTGACTCAATCAGTTCTCCTGCCTCAACCTCCAGAGTAGGTGCTACTACAGATGTGCACTACTGTGTTTTAGTAGAGACAGATTTTCACCATGTTGCCTAGGCTGGCCTCAAACTCCTGACCTCAAGTGATCCACCTGCCTCAGCCTCCAAAACTGCTGAGATTACAGGTGTGAGCCACTGCACCCAGCATCCTTTGCATTCTTATACTGAATCTTCCTCATTCCGTGTTCTTTCTCATTCTCCTGCTTTGCTCCTGGGGAGCACATCCTCCGAAAACTTACCTACACTGAAGCTTTTGTCTCATGCTTTTTTTGTGTGAGAACCCAAGCAAAAATGAAAAAGAGAATTCCCTTGCAAATTACTATACGGTAAGATACACTACCATTGAAAATATTTTTTAACTAAGCTTAACAATGCGAAACTAATTCTAAAAGATCTTTTTAAAAATACTCCTAAACAGAAGTAAGTCAATTGTAGAGGAAAAATAAAATTCAAGGAAAGGGATTTGTATAACGAATGTTACAGTATAGTGAAACATCAGAGTAGCCAGAGAATTTACGCTCCTGGTGGTGAATGTGGCTGATATGGTTTGGCTGTCCCCACCCAGATCTCATCTTGAATTTTGGTTCCTATAATTCCCATGTGTCGTAAGAGGGACGCAGTGGGAGGTAATTGAATCATGGGGGCAGTTTCCCCCATGCTGTTCTTGTGATAGTGAGTGAGTGAGTTATTACGAGATCTTATGGTTTTATAAGGGGCTTTCTCCCCTTTTGCTCAGCACCTCTCTCTCCTAACACCATGTTAAGAATGACGTGTTTGCTTCCCCTTCCTCCATGATTGTAAGTTTCCTGAGGCCTCCCCAACCCTGTGGAACTGTGAGTCAATTAAACCTTTTTCCTTTATAAATTACCCAGTCTTGGGTATGTTTTTATTAGCAGCTTGAAAACAGACTAGTATATACTAAACATAAAAATAGAACAGAATGGAATGCCCCAAGTTACTGCCTTCTCTATATGAGAAAAAGGGCATTACACATTAATAGTGAATAGCATTGTGGAAACTAATTCATTATATGAAGGAAAAGAAAGCTGAGTCTTTGTCTAATCATTCCTTAGAAGGATGATCTCTAGATGGATTCAGGACTAAAGTATTAAAGATCAAGTCATAAAATTTGTAAAAGAAAATGAAGAGGAATGCCTCTCCAGCCTTAGAAGTGGGCAAAGATTTTAAAGCAAGTTTCTAACAGCACAAATTCTTAGGTATAACATCGAGTAATTTGAAGATGTCAAAATTAAAATGTTCTATCCTGGGAAGGGTATCACGGACAAAGTTTAACAGTTGAGAGGATGACAGCAGTTCTTTGTGAAATCCAAATTTAAAAAAAAACTGAAATTATCTAGACTATAGATGGGGCTTCTTCAAAGTAATGGGAAAAAAGATGGGAAACCCTATAGAAACAAACAAAAAAAGGCAATAGGTCTGAATAGTCAATGCAAAGAAGAGTAAGCCCTATCAACAGCTAAGATCAGAGAATTGCAAATTAAAGGAACAAATGAGAGACATTTTTATACCTATAAATATTGCAAACTCTGTAAAACTGGAATATACCTAGTGTTCTCAAGAGTATGAGAGGATGGGAATTTTTCTGCTCACCTGATAAGGATGAATATTGGGATGGCTATCTGAAGAGCATTCTTGCCAGGCCTTAGCTTTCTGTGAAATAAGTGGACATCTCATGACCCAGCAATATAACTTCTTGGCATAAATCCTAGAGAAATTATAAGGTGCACCTTATAATTTCATGCATCTAGAGATGGATGAAGGGACACCTTCCAGATATTCCATGTGGCATAGAATATGAAGGTCATCTCAGGCACTCATCACTCTACAAGCTCATAAAATGTGGTAGATGCTTACCATGCACCAATAAGCAGCACAATTGTTGCATATTCAGCAACATCATTGAGTCTTTTTTTGTTTAAATTTAATATATGTATATGTTTGCATGAGTATTATAATTTAAAATATTTGTACATATTTGTGGTTACAAGAAGGTTTAAAAGCTGCTGGTTCAGAAGTCTTCCTCTTTCACCTTCCTTTTTTCACCTAATTAACACTCTTTCCCATCTTTTAAATGTCAGCTCAAATGTTACTTGCTAATGAAAGCCTTCTTCATCATACTCAGGTAGATTTTGTTCTATTGTCAATTGCTTTCTGGATTTATTTTCCTTTACTTTCAAACCTTCACCTCAGGTTGTAATTGGAATTTCATAGTGATATTGTTTGATTGCTGTTTGTTTCCCACAGCTGCCTGTGGGCTCCATGAAAATAGACTCTTTATAGCTATGTTCATCCTTGTATCCCCAGTGCCTAACACAATGCTTGAAGCATAATAGACACTTAATAAATATGTGTTAAATGAATTTGTCTTCTCATTGAATCTTCTCATATGATCTCGTTTTAGTGATATCAGCAATATTAAAACACTCCATGGGATATGATGAGCAGACAGAGGGCATCTTATTTCACTAGATGTGCAAGCTCTTCTATGAATTAACTCTTTAAACCACAAAAGCACATTCCTAGTTTTCAGAAAACTGGGACAATGATTGAATACAGATGGAATAAAAGGACTTCCCCTATTGAGACTCATAGCAGGTAAAAGTGAAATCTGACATTTATTTATTTATTTATTTATTTATTTATTTATTTATTTATTTTGAGACAGAGTATTTCTCTGTCCTACAGGCTGCCATGCAGTGGTGCAATCTCGGCTCACTGCAACCACAGCCTCCCAGGTTCAAGCGATTCTCATGCCTCAGCCTCCTGAGTAGCTGGGATTACAGTCATGTGCCACCAGGCCTGGCTAATTATTTTGTTCTTTTAGTAGAGATGGGATTTCACTATGTTGGCCAGGTTGGCCTCTAACTCCTAAGTGTGAACAAATTCATGGGGAAGTTTGAACTGGGCAGACCCCACCGCAGCTCAGCAAAGCCACTGTGACCAGACTGCCTTTCTAGATTCCCTCCTCTTCGGGCAGGGCATCTTAAAAAAAAAAAAAAAAAAAAGGAAAGCAACAGTCCCAGTCAGAGACTTATAGATAAAACCCCCACCTCCCTGGGACAGAGCACCTGGGGGAAGGGGTGGTTGTGGACTAAGCTTCAATAGACTTAACTGTCCCTGCCTGTCAGCTCTGAAGAGAGCAGTGGATCTCTCAGCACAGTATTTGAGCTCTGATAAGGGACAGATTGCCTCCTCAAGTGGGTCCCAGACTCCGAGTATCCTGACTGGGAGACACCTCACAGTAGGGGCCAACAGACATCTCATACGGGAGAGCTGTGGCTGGCATCTGGTGGGTGCCCCTCTGGGATAAGGCTTCCAGAGGAAGGAATAGGCAGCAATCCTTGCTGTTCTGTAGCCTCCCCTGGTGATACCCAGGCAAACAAGGCCTGGAGTGCACCTCCAGCAGACTCTGCAAACCTGCAGCAGAGGAGCCTGACTGTTAGAAGGAAAACTGACAAACGGAAAGGAATAGTAGCAACATCAACAAAAAGGACATCCACTCAGAGACCATATCCAAAGGTCACTGGCATCAGAGACCAAAGGTAGATAAATCCTCAAAAGTGGGGAGAAACCAGCACAAAAAGGCTGAAAACTCCAAAAACCAGAATGCCTCTTCTCCTCCAAAGGATCATAGCTCTTCATCAGCAAGGGAACAAAACTGGACAGAGAATGATTTTGATGAATTGACAGAAGTAGACTTCAGAAAGTGGAAAATAACAAACTACTCTGAGCTAAAGGAGCATGTTCTAACTCAATGGAAGGAAGCTAAGAACCTTGAAAAAAAGTTAGACAAATTGCTAACTAGAATAACCAAGTTACAGAAGAACATAAATGACCTGATGGAGCTGAAAAACATAGCATGAGAACTTTGTGAAGCATAAACAAGTGTCAATAGCCAAATCAATCAAGCAGAAGAAAGGATATCAAGGATTGAAGATCAACTCAATGAAATAAAGTGAAAAGGCAAGATTACAGTGAAAAGAAATGAACAAAGCTTTCAAGAAATATGGGACTATGTGAAAAGACCAAACGTACATTTGATAGGTGTACCTGAAAGTGACGGGAAGAATAGAACAAACTTGGAAAACACTCTTCAGAATATTTCAAGCAGAACTTCCCCAACCTAGCAAGACAGGCCAACCTTCAAATTCAGAAAATACAGAGAACATAACAAAGATACTCCTTGAGAAGAGCAACCCAAAGACACATAATTATCAGATTTACCAAGGTTGGAATGAGGGAAAGAATGTTAAGGGCAGCCAGAGAGAAAGGTCAGGTTACCCACAAGGGGAAGCCCATCAGTCTAACAGCAGATCTGTCTGCAGAAACCCTAGAAACCAGAAGACAGTGGGGGCCAATATTCAACATTCTTAAAGAAAAGAAGTTTCAATGCGGAATTTCATATCCAGCCAAACTAAGCATCCTAAATGAAGGGAAAATAAAATCCTTTACCGACAAGAAAATGCTGAGAGATTTTGTCACCATCAGAGCTGCTTTACAAGAGCACTTGATGGAAGCAATAAACATGGAAAGGAACAACCGGTACCAGCCACTGCAAAAACATACTAAATTGTAAAGCCCATTGATGTTGTGAAGAAACTGCATCAACTAATAGACAAAATAACCAGCTAGCATCATAATGGCAGGATCAAATTCACCAATAACAATATTAACCTTAAATGTAAATGGGCTAAATGCCCCAATTAAGAGACATAGACTGGAAAATTGGATAGAGTCAAGACCCATCAGTGTGCTTGCTGTATTCAGGAGACTCACCTCATGTACAAAGACACACATAGGCTCAAAATAAAGGGATAGAGGAATATTTACCAAGCAAATGGACAGAAAAAAAAAAAACAAGGGTTGCAATCCTAGTCTAGTCTCTGATAAAACACACTTTAAAACAACAAACATCAAAAGAGACAAAGAAAGGCATTACATATTGGTAAAGGGATCAATGCAACAAGAAGAGCTAACTATCCTAAATATATATGGACCCAATACAGGAGCACCCAGATTCATAAAGCAAGTTCTTAGAGACCTACAAAGAGACTTAGACTCCACACAATAATAATGGGAGACTTGAATACCCCACTGTGATTATTAGACAGATCGATGAGACAGAAAATTAACAAGGATATCCAGGACTTGAACTCAGCTCTGGACCAAGCAGACCTAATAGACATCGACAGAACTCCACCCCAAATCAACAGAATATACATTATTCTCAGCATCACATTGCACTTATTCTAAAATTGACCGCATAATTGGAAGTAAAACACTCCTCAGCAAATGCAAAAGAGTGGAAATCGTAACAGTTTCTCAGACCATAGTGCAATCAAATTAGAATTCAGAATTAAGAAACTCACTCAAAACCACACAACTACATGGAAACGGCACGAACTGCTCCTGATTGACTACTAGGTAAATAACAAAATGAAGGCAGAAATAAAGATGTTCTTTGAAACCAGTGAGAAGAAAGAGGCAATGTACCAGAATTTTCATTATTGCAAAATAACTGCTAAAAACTGTAGTGAATATGCTTTATTGCTTCTTTATAGCTAAGCCTTTTCTTGCCTTCACAAGAAGATATAGCAGAAAGTTTCTGGGAAGACCCCAGTTCATATTTCTACTATTTAGTGTGCCTGGTATTCACACTATTATAAGGTCTAAACTGGAGATCACTATTAAAAGAATTCTCAGCCGGGTGTGGTGGCTCAGTCTTGTAATCCCAGCACTTTGGGAGGCCGAGGCAGGCAGATCACTTGTTAGGAGTTTGAGACATCATTGAGTCTTGCAAACATTTTTATTGAGTTAGTGACGTGAAGAACCAGAATGCCATTTATAGCACAATACCATTTCTCTAAATGAAAAACATACACTCATAAGGCAACACTATCAATTTTACAAACAACAGGCATAGTTAAGGGCCACGTGTCAAACAGATTTCATGAGGGGACTGTGAGTTTCCAGGAGTGGGGATCTGGGGGTGAATTGGGAAGAAACATATTAACAAGGAAAGGGTCTTGCCATAGGTGATGGTGATTGTGAATAAGAAGCACAGTCAACTCAACTCTTGCTACTGATATCCAAATTGAAAGAACCACCAAAAAAGTATGAATAATTAGGATTTAGCCAGGTGAACACAAAGGGGTAGGGAAGAAAAGAAGGGTATATAATTGGTTTGAGATTAGAAACAACATCCTGGATATACTTCAAGGTTTATTCACTTTGGTATTACCACCATTCACAGCTGGATAATCCTTTGTCCTGAGGGACTAGCCTGTGCCTTCTAGGGTTTTGAGCAGCATCCCTGGGCTCTACCCACCAGATGCTACTAGCACCCCAAATGTGAAAGCCAAAACTCTCTCCAGAAAGTGTTTCCTGTCCTCTGTGGGTGATGGAGAGGAAATCTCTCCTGTTGGGGATGCCCAATAGAGGAAAATCAAGATGACATAAAGAGAGGAGACTGAAGAGTAAAGTCTTGGGTGTCTTACAAAAAACTTGGGATTTTATTTTGAACCATCTACAGAGTCCCAAGAGGGGATTTTATCAGATTGGCATTGGGAAGTGTTGCCTGAGTGCTTAGAGCTCTTCAATCACTTGAGGTCACGTTTCCCTTTTCTACCCAGATAAAAGATCTGAAGTCATTCCATTGCAACAGGGACTTTTTCATGACCTTCCCAATATTTCCAAGGCTATCTGGAAGCGGATTTTGGCAGCAGTGGCACTTATATTCTCCAAGACACGTTCTCTCCAAATTCTGCCTCTTGGCGCAACCACTACGCCCTTCCTTCCTCCTTCATACTATCTGTGTTCAGAAGCCTGCCTTCGTCATTCCCCTTGTTTCTGTTTGTCCCTTCTTTGTTAAACCTGTAGACATTACATTCTTGTTAGTAATACAGTGAGAGCACCATAGACATCACAACACGAACACCAGAATTTGCTGATTGTAAAACTCCCTTCACTATTCCTGTCAAGGGGAATCACTCCATGGTTCTTTTTCTTTAAGACCTGGGGTGCTGTTGCCATCCTGATCTCTCTATTTGAGGTTCTTTCCCATTTACCTTCTCCTCTTTCAAGGACTGCTGCCAGGCAACAACCCCCAAATTCCTTGGCTCTATTAGGGATGGCAATTCTGCTCCCTTCTGATGCATTTCCTGACATAGACACTGGGATACACATGTTAGGTTTACCTTTCTTCCCTTCTGTATTGGTCTGTTTTCATACTGCTATAAAGAACTGCCTAACACTGGGTAATTTATAAAGGAAAGAGGTTTAATTGACTCACAGTCCACATGGCTGAGGAGGACTCCAGAAACTTACAATCATGGAGGAAGGGGAAGCAGGCACCTTCTTCACAAGGTGGCAGGAAGGAGAAGTGCTGAGTGAAGGGGGAAGAGCCCCTTATAAAACCATCAGATCTCATGAGAACTGACTCATTATCATAAGAACAGCATGGCAGAAATCATCCCCACAATCCAATTACCCACCTTGTCTCTCCTTGACATGTGGGAATTATGGGGATTACAATTCAAGATGAGATTTGGGTGGGGACACAAAGCCTAGCCATATCACCTTCCCTCTTCTGTCTCTGCTGGTCCTAATCTTACAAATTTAGGTGGCAGATGGGGAACGGAGAAAGCCAACAGAAGAGTGACATCATGGGACATACATGAAGATATGGTACAACCTTCAAAAACAGGAGAAAAGAGGAAATGCACAGGGGAGTGTGTATCAAGTGGAAAGAAGCTGAGCATTTTTTACATGTGTGTGGCTTGGGGGAGGCAGATATGCAGAGCTGAGGTCATTACCCAGTAGTTGTGGGCAAAACAGGGCTTGCCAGCCTATATATGTGGTTTTTGAAGTGCTGAATTCTCCAAAATGTAATAAGAATTTGTGAATTATAAAACTGTTGTATTGGGTGATTTCCCTTAAAAAAATCCCACCATCTCTGGCTGACATCCTGGAGTAAGAACTGTCAGTTAAAATTGATTCAGTGTGATTCAGCATGCAGTTCTAAATATTAGCATTTACACCTACATCTCCTTAGCCCACACTGCCTCAGCCATTAACTCACTGGCTAGACATCTGAGTGTGAAAATCCTCAGCCACTCCCATTCGCTATCCAGAGTTTATCAATGTGAACTTGCATATTAGCTCATTATTTTAGAATTTAAAATGTTGCCTTTCTATCATAATTACTTGTATCATGTGCCTTAAGGTTTCAAAATTAATGCATCTTGTCATATCTTCAAATTCATTGGGCTGCTTTCATCTGTTGACTTAGGTCTTCCATCAATTCAAGAAACTTTTATTTCTTTTTGTGATTTCTTTTGGTTGAATATACTTGTCTTCTGGGATAACTTTTTTTTATATATTCTTGCTGAACAACAAACCTATTATTTCATTACATTAAACTGTTCTCTTGATTTTGAACTTCCTGAGTTTTCTTCCATTTCTCAGCCTTGATATTCTGCAGGATATAATCTGACATTTGCCACTTCCTAAGAAAATTTATCCACATCAGTGTAGGTTTTCTTGTCTATGCATTTCACCATAATTTAGTAAATTTTGCATGCTTTCACAATAAACCTTTTCAGAAATAGCAATTTGTCTTTATTCCCGGAGTCCTCTTCCCTCTTTCGGATGAGCGGTAGTTTTTCCTCTGTTGACAGGATTGGTTAAAAAGGAAGGTTAGTGGAGTGGAAGTAACTCAGAAAACCATTGTTCTTTTTCTTTCCTTTCCTTTTTTTTTTTTTTTTTTTTTTTTTTGACAGAGTCTCATTCTGTCATCCAGGCTGGAGTGCAGTGGCACAGTCTCAGCTCACTGCAGCCTCCACCTCCCAGTTTCAAGCAATTCTCCTGAGTAGCTGGAATTACAGGCGCTGCCACCACACCTGGCTAATTTTTGTATTTTTGGTAGAGACAGGGTTTCACCATGTTGGCCAGGCTGGTCTCAAACTCCTGACCTCAAGTGGTCTGCCTTCCTTGGCCTCCCAAAGTGCTAGGATTACAGGTGTGAATGACAGCACCTGAGCCATTGTTCTTTTTCTAGTCTTCTGATTGTGTGAATGTTCACCCCATGGTCAATCCTTCATTGCAATTCCTTGGGCATTAGTGAGAATCCATTTTATTTCTCTTTTCTGCATTTCCCCCAACTCTGCCAGCTTTCTTGGTCCATTTGGGCTGCAATTATAAATTTCCATAGACTGGAAATATATAAACAATAGAAATTTATTTCTCACACTTCTGGAGGCTGGAAGTTCAAGATTAATGTGACAGAAAATTTGGTATGTGATCAAGGTTCTCTCCTTCAGAGATGGTGCCTTCTTGCTGTGTCCTTCCATGACGGAAGGGACAAAGGAGCTCTCTCTGGAGTCCCTTTTATAAGGGCACTAGTCTCATTCATATAGCTCCACCCTCAGGATCTCATGACCTCCCAAAAGCCCCATCTCCTAACACCATCTCCTTGGGAATTAAGATTTCAACATCTGAATCTTGGGGTAACACAAACTTTCAGACCATAGCACTGGTTTACTGCTCTTTAGGATTAGAGGAAAGTGGTTTGCAGATTACTTCTCCATAACCCTTCATTTTCTTTCTGCCAAATTCTGAATGGGGTAAATTCTGTGAAGTTTGGGTAATATTGTGGCATTCTGCCTAATGACATGGGTTTTCTTGGAGATCTGTGGGTTTATATGCCCAGTCTCCTGCTACCATCCTACCTAGAAGTTTGTTCATATTTTTACATGAATGTTTATTTATATTACATATGGAAATTGTATTCTTATTTTTATTCAGTGCCCAAAATACAGTAGAAAGCCCCAAACATTTGTCTCTTAATTTAACTTAGAAAAGACATTTTATTTCCAGAATGAGACAAATTTTATTTGCTCTAGAAGTAGCACCAACGCTTCTTAGTGCTATCTGCTTTTCCAATATTTCTTTCTTTCTTTTTTTTTTTTTTTTTTTTTTGAGACAGAGTCTTGCTCTGTCACCCATGGTAGAGTGCAGTGGTGTGATCGTGGCTCACCACAATCTCTGCCTCCTGGGTTCAAGTGATTCTCCTGCCTCAGCCTCCCAAGTAGCTGGTATTATGGGCATGTGCCACTGCAGCCAGCTAGTTTTTATATTTTTAGTATAGATGGGGTTTCACTATGTTGGCCAGGCTGGTGTTGAACTCCTCACCTCAACTGATGTGCCTCACTCGGCCTTCCAAAGTGCTGGGATTACAGGCATGAACCACTGTGCCTGGCCTTTTCCAATATTTTTTATTAAATCTTTTACAGTTTTTATAAAACGTTCAACTCCAAAAGAAATAAATAACAGAATTTTAAAAATTCTATGGTGCAAATAAACAACATACTGATGAAACATTCTGCCTTCAAACATATATATCTCATGAGTTCATTTTTGTTTATTTCCACTCTGACCATTTTAGTTTAAGCTTGCATCCTCAGCTTCCTGGCTGTACTGGAAGAACTGCCTGTTCCTCTCATTATAAATTTCTCCAAACTATTCATCACTCATAATACATCAAAGCCTTTGAAATCATAAGTTACTCTCTATAATCTCTTCTTTTTGCATTTAGAATAATAATAATAATAATAATAAAATAACAATAAACTACCAACACTTTTCCAAGTCTCACAAAGCCCTATATAATCCTGTCTTTGTCCAACCTTCTGGCTCACACTGTGCCACTCCTCTTTTGTTCCCAGAGGAAAGGTAATTTTCTTGAACAGTAAATAACAGACAAGATGAATGGGAAAATATCCCATTACACTCTTATGCCCAAAACAGAAAATATGACAAGTTTTAATGAGATCCCTCTGGCTAAAAGGTTGCTAATGATAATGAAAACAAAAGGGGAAATTACTTCAACACATGCAATTTGCTAAAGAGAAAAATAAAAAAAAATTTTCAAGAATATTCTTTTATCCAAATTGATGCAATATAGACGTAATTTGGCGTGTCCAATGCAGTGACCTCTGTGGGCCAAGACACTGAAATGAAGACCATGGGAAAAAGAGCTCCAGGGCTGGATCCCTGAAAAAATGATTTCACAACATATAAATGTGGTTTATGCCTTTAACCGCAAACAGCTGTCTCCTACAGCTGTCCCCCTCCAACCAATGGGTGATGGTCAGTGGCTTGCAAATCCTAGGTGTGGTTTGTTCAGACAAGGGCATCTATCTGAGTTTATTACAAACTCATCTTAGGAGGGGCAAAGGCCATATTGAAACAGAAAGCCCCAATATCCAAGAGGCCGCTTTCAAATATTTCCCCACCTTGGCTTTTGTGTTGTTACCACAGATTTTATTTACCTAAGAATGGCTTCCGCAGCACCATCTGTTTGCCTATCAATTGCAACACTAGGGCATGAAGCCTGCACACATCTTTCATCGATGTTGCGGAAGGCTCCCAATTGCACAAAAACTTGAATGAATTCCCTACGCCGGAAAATCTGAAAATGTGGATTCTCATTTGCAGAAAGAAGCGTGCATTGCTAGATATTATCAATACAAAAACTGAAATCCACAAAAACATTTCAAAAGGCTATTTGTACAGGAGTCATCTATGACCAGTAATGCTGGTTTTTAGGGATGGAAAACGTTCTTGCATTCTCAAGCACAGCACATTCTTCTTTCTTTCAAGAAGGGAACATTTAGGAGAGACTGCCCAAGTTAACTGGGCTTTTGCTCATCTAACCTATAGGAAGTTCCTTGGGGCTTGTGAAATGATTAATAAATGCAATGAAAACAAGCAAATATGTAAGGTATGGGTTTCAAAAATACAATTATGTAGAATCAGGTTTATAAATATTGCTCAGCAGCATGGCTCATGCCTGTAATCCCAACATTTTGGGAAGTCAAGGTGGGAAGATGGCTTCAGCCCAGGGGTTCTAGACCAGCCTGGGCAACATAGTGAGGCCCCATCTCTACTAAAAATTAAAATGAAAAAAATAGCTGGGCATGGTGGGACATGCCAATGGTCCTAGCTACTTACAAGGCTGAGGCAGGAGGATTGCTTGAGCCCAGGAGTTCAAGGCTGCAGTGAGCTATGATTATGCCACTGCACTGCAGCCTGGGTGACAAGAATGAGACCCTGTCTCCAGAAAAATTTAAAAATAAATAAATAAAAAGGTTTATAGAGATAGAAGAAGGCAAGTTGTTTGGAATACAATTATTTCCCTTTAGCATTTTCTCTCAGTTTTTTAATGGTTTTGATATAGGATGTGCTAAATACGTTAACTTCCATGTTCAACATATTAACATATGAGAATCATTTCCTTAAAGCAAAGGGAAATAAGAACCATAGCATGTTGGCATGTGTCCTCAGTTCACAAAGAACATACATTTCACCGTTCAAAACATGTGACATTGAAACAACACAAGCAGCCTGCATTCTTAGCTGTGTTTGCACCTGCTCATAAACCCACAGAACTGGAAGGCAATGTAGCAAACACACAGTCAAACCTCCCACAAGGCCTGTGAGCAGTGTTCACTAAAATCAGCATGGCTTGAGTTATAGGTACCTGTTTTGAAATTTGGTTGGCCTCCCAAGTTATGGAACGGAATATGTTTGCATAGGTTTATAGAACAATAGGACTAGGAAAAAAACTCAGGCCAAGCCATGTTTTTCCTAATTCTGTCTAGGAATAAATGCATGAATCCTAAAATGCTTTCAAGACTTTGCAGTGTTACAATTTCTTATTAGGAGCTTGGACTTCTAATCACTTTCAAAAGATGTCTCAAGTGTCATGGCTGATCCAATAGAGGTCAAAACACAAAACAAGCTTAAAGAAAGCAAAAACCTGTCTACAATAGCTTAAGATTCAGTGTAGAAGTAATACTTTAAAATATATTTAGCAGTTCGAGACCTGACATGGCAACATGGTGAAACCATATCTCTGTAAAAAAAATACAAATTAGCTGGCATGATGGTGAGTGTCTGTGGTCTCAGCTGCTGGGGAGGCTGAGATGAGAGAATCAACTGAGGCCCCAGAGGTTGAGGCTGCATTAAGCTGTGATTGTGCCATTGCACTGCAGCCTAGATGAGTGAGACCCTGTCTCAAAATATATATATATATAAATTTATAAATGTTATAAATATACAATTATATATTTTTAAATTATATATAAGTATATAGTATAAATAATGTTTTTATAGTTGTGTAAAGTTTATACAATTTTATAAATGTAGATATTTCATTTACACAAATAAAAATATATATTATTGGTAATTATGTAAAATTTATAAATATAAGTATATATACATACCTATGTCTATAAATACATAGAAATATTATATAATTCTACATATTTATATATAATTGTCAATTTATAAATATAAATACATTTATACATAAATATATGTATATGTTTATATATATTTAAATATAACAGGGAAAACAGTGTCCCTTTTTTTTAGGTGCTAAAACTTGGTTTTGAAATTTTATTTAAAAAAATTTGCAAACATATAAAATTTAGGATGAAAAACACTCATTTTAAAATGTAATAACTTAATATTTGCAAACATACACAGATGGTATAAAATCCATACCATTAAAAATGTTAATGATACAGTTTTGTGCTCATGGAACAAAAACCTTGCTGTAATTCCAGAGCTTCTCATCCCCACCTTTCAGGGAGCTGAGAATCTGGTAAAATGAAAGTCATGAAAGCCACATGGCCAAAGCAGTAATACAGAATAAAAAAAATTTAGAACACATATTTTAAAAACCTGTTTCTTAGGGAATCACATGGATGAAAAGGAAACACAATTCTGCATTTTCCCTACTTCGAAGTGAATGATATTGCATCTTAGCATTTTAAATGAAGGTGTCAAATACAAAACCGAGGGAACTGCTGAACACATCTGCTGAATTTGCTGAAAAAGACGCTCCTCGAGGCCCTGGTCCACTCGGAAACGTTCTCAAACACAGCTATAAAAAAGCCTAGTGTAAGCCGCTTGACTTTGCTCGGATCTTAACATTTTAGAGACTTGGCAACACAGGGCATGATTAGTTCCAGAAGATATACTGAACGCAATTGAAGAAAACCCAATGGAGGCAAGAAAGAAAAACGTGCTCTGCAGCAAACATGCAGTCGAGACGCAGGACGCGCACCCCAGTGATTCCTCAATTCCCCTCACTCACACGGGCTGAGCCCACTCGTGTCTGTGCCCACCTCTCATTCCTCTCAGAGTTAAAGTATGACGGATGATTTTCTTTCTTGAGCAGTTAGGCACCTTCAATTTCATGTTACATTATTAGTAATACAATGGGATTTCACATGGTCCTGTTAAGGTTTCCATCAATACTCTTCAATGGCTTCTGGTTTTCAACAAATCAAGTGCATGCTTCCTGCTTTTGTGGTAAGGTCCTCAAACATGCGCCCCTGCCTACTTCCATGACTTATGATTTCTTACCCCGCCCTTCACAACACCCACACTAAGTGGCTTGTCTTTCCACGCGCCGGCCCCACACCTTGCTTCCTTTACCACATGTATGTCCTCACGCTATTTGTTCTCTATGCGTTTGTGTGCAAATAAAATCCATTCTCTAATGCTGGGCATGCATGGGTCTTCCTCCATGAGATTTCGTGAAGGAAATCTTACATACTATTGGTGTTGATTGCATTGATTGATCAATTCACAGTCCCAGAGACATATTCTATAGAGGAGTTGAGTAAAACACCAATTAACACGGACTTCCAGACTGTCTACCCCAAACGTTGCCTTCTTGAAAGAAGGATTTCGTAGAGAAAACTCTCCCCCCAGCTCCCTCTGTGTGTGGTTCATATACCTCCTAGCCAGGTACAAGGCATGCCACCTTGTAATGCTCCTTCCTGCCTTATTTCTCCCACATACTGTGGTCCTGCATGCACCTGGCTAATGGGCCAACCCTCAAAGCTGCTGAAACGCCAGCCTAAGCCACGCATGAGGTAACCCATTTTCAGAACGGTCGTTCCAGACACATGGTGCCCAGATGGGAGCCGCAGTTTGACCTTCCATTTTTAAAATTTGCTTCCACTACAGAAATTAAAGTTCAAATAACCAAAGCTTACAGGGAGCCTGTTTATAGTTAATATCATTGGTTAAGATTAGAGATGATCTAATTCCTTAACCATAGATGTATTCTCCAAACGCATGAGCACAGAAAGGAAAATAGTGTGCAGGCAGCTGTTAAATTGCTCCCCGATGACTTCCCCTCTGCCATGTGAACTCTCTTCCTTTGACATGGTCTGACTAGTCTTGTACTAAAAATAAAATCTCCCTTATATGAACAAAATACAAAATATTCCTTTTTCTTTCTCTTTCAAGAGCCCTCTGGATTTTGTGTTAGCTTTATTTAAGAGATTTTTCTTCCTTTTGTGGCACAATGATCAGAATTAAGATTGATATTTACATTAAATTACATTACAAGATTTACTAAAATGTAGATTATCATGTCATAAATATATATCATATGTATATGTATCATATATATCATACATATATGATATATGTGTCATATGTCATACATATATGTATCATATATATCATACATATGATACATGTATCATATATCATACACATATGTATCATATATATCATGCATATATATATATTAGATAGAAGAAATTATAGCCAGGTGCAACAGCTCATACCTGCAATCCCAGAGTTTTGGGAGGCCAAGGCAGGAGGGTTGCTTGAGGCCTGGAGTTCAGCTTAAGCAATGTCTCTATCTCTACAAAATAAATTTTATTATTTTTTTAAATTATCTTTTTTTTTTTTGAGATAGAGTCTCACTCTGTTGCACAGGCTGGAGTGCAGTGTTTCAATCTTGGCTCACTGCAACCTCCACTGCCTGGGTTCAAGTGATTCTCCTGCCTCAGCCTCCTGAGTAGCTGAGACTATGGGCATGCACCAGCATGCCCGTCTAATTTTTGTATTTTTAGTTGAGACAGGGTTTAACCATGTTGGCCAGTCTTGTCTTGAACTCCTGACCTTTTGATCTGCCTGCCTTGGCCTCACAAAGTGCTTGGATTACAGGCATGAACCACTGTACACAGCCCAAAATAAATTTTAAATATTAGCCGACCATGGTGGCATGCATCTGTAGTCCCAGCTACGTGGGAGGCTGAGGCAGGAGGATCACTTGAGTTCAGGAGGTCAAGGCTGCAGGAGCCATGATTGCACTACTGCACTCCAGCCTGGGCAATGGAGCTAGACCCCACCTCTTAAAAGAAAACCATGATGTCTAAGTCTTAAGAAAAATTTAATTATTCACAAGCAATCATATTGCCTTAGCATTCATGGCAACGGTGCATTAATAACGTTGGTTTATTAGAGCTGTTCAAACTTGAATGGAAGAGGTACAAGACTAAAGTCAATGATTATGGGTTTTCACTTCTCCTTTTCATGAGTGGTGGCTACACCAAAAGCCCAGACTTTACCACTATGCAATCTGTGCTTGTTAGAAATCTGCACTTGTACCCCTGAAATACATTGAAAAAATAAATAATAATTAAATGAAAAGTGTCAAATTTAACTTTTCTTCACAGGATTTCTCCATAAGATCTTTGGCACTTTGGTCAGTTTATCCAAACTTCAAACATTCCAGATTTCTAGGGGTACATCATGGAATTTCTAAGGGTACATCAAGGTATTGTAAGTATATGGTCCTGTCCCTAAAAGAAAAATGACACAGTTAAGATGACAAATTTGTAACATACACATATAAAGACACACATTCATAGTATGTCTATACATGTTATAAGCTTACAAATCTACATAGCAAAAGTGCATCTACATCGCAAAAGTGCATGTACATCAAAGCAACCCATGAAACAGTAGATTATACATATTATAAGCATACACCTGTGTCTATACATGTTATAAGCATGCAAATCTACTAGCAAAAGTGTATCTACATCAAAGCAACCTGTGAAATAGTAGATTCAAACAAATGAAGGAATAAATTTTTTTGGAGAGGATGGGAAGCGGGGTCGGGGATGGTATATTTGTCAGCTTGGGCTGCTGTATTAGTCTGTTCTCATGCTGCTAATAAAGACGTTCTTGAAACTGGGTAATTTATAAAGGAAATAAGTTAATGGACTCACAGTTCGACATGGCTTGGGAGGCCTCACAATCATGGCAGAAGATGAAGGGATGTCTTACATGGCAGACAAGAGAGCTTGTGCAGGGGAACTCCCATTTATAAAACCATCAGATCTCATGAGACTTACTCACTACCATGAGAACACTATGGAGAAAACTGCCCCCCATGATTCAATTATCTCCACCTGGCCCTGCTCTTGACATGTGGGGATTATTACAATTCCAGGTGAGATTTGGGTAGTGACACAGCCAAACAATATCAGCTGTGATAACAATATATCATAGAGTGAGTGGCTTATAAACAGCCAGTATTTATTGCTCACAGCTCTGGAAGCTGGAAGTTCACGACCATAGCATGGCAGCTTTGGTGTCTGGTGAGGACTTGTAGATGCCTGCTTTTTTCCTGTGCCCTCACATGGCTTTTTCTCAGTGTGTGTGAAAGAGAGAGAGAGAGAGAGAGATGGAGGGAGAGAGAGAGAGAGAGAGCTCTGTTGTGCCTCCTATGAGGGCACCATAATAGTTCATTTTATAGGTCAATTTGACTGAGCCACAGGATGCCAAGATATTTGGTTAAACATTGTTTCTGAATGTGTCTGTGAAGGTGTTTTTAGAAGGGATATTAGCATTTGAATTGGTGGAATAATTAAGGCAGATTATCCCCCTTATATGGTTAGGTATTCAATTTGTTGCAGGCCTCACTAGACCAAAACGTTGACAGGAAGTTGAATTAACTATCTGCGTCCTTGCCCTGAGACGCTGATCTCTTCCTTAGCTCTCCTGGTTCTCAGACCTTCAGGATCTGACTGAAATCTACCCTGGAATCTATAACACAGTCTCTCCTGGGTCTCCAGTTGTAGATAGTGGGTCAGTTTTCAGCCTCCATAATTGCCCAGGATGGAGTGCAGTGGCACAATCATACCTCATTGCAACCTCAACTTCCGGGTATCAAGTAATCCTCCAGTCTCAGTCTCCCTGAGTAGCTGGGACTAGTCATGTGCCTGCACACCCAGCTGTGTATTTCATCTTATAAGGATATAAAATTATATCATTCATCTTCTTGTTGACTTCTTGTAACCACCATGAAAGCATGACTCTTGTCTGTCTTATCCTCTTCCCTATGTCCAGAACTTGGCACATACTAGCAGCTCTACAATTAGTTGTTGCATAAATGGCAAATTTATTTTTTTTAGGGAGTATTGCATTCTCTGCCTAGAAGTCCCTGCCCCCTCTCCCTTCCCCAGAAGGAAACTTCTTACTGGCTAAGATGCTGTTCTAACCTCAGTGCTTCCAAAGGAGCCTCAGCAAGTCAGGGGCTATCACTTAAAACGTATTTATCCCCAAATTCAGATATGATTTGTTTCAAGGAATGCACTGCAAGTATTTACAGAATGAACCATTGAAGCAGGAAAAGGAACTGGCATGAGCAAATTCTCTGTTTCTGTTACAATATAAGAGGTTGTGTCAGTCAGAGCTATTGGCACATAACAAAGAATCCAAATATGCAGTGGGTTAAAAAAATCTATGTTATATACTCACCATCCTTTGGGACAAAAATTCAGGCTGTACTCAATGGGTGCTCTGAGATCTACCAAGTAGAGGCCCAGAATGATGCTGAGAATCCTACAATGCACATGGCAGCTTCCATGACAAATAATTTTCTGGCCCCAACTGTCAATGGTGCGAGTGCTCAACAACAACAAAAACCTACATCTTCTAAGTCCAAGTTTATTAGGTACATTTCTTTTCTTTTCTTTTTTGACTTTATTTTACTTTTTTTTTTTTTAAATAATGAAATGCCTCACGAATTTACCTGTCATCATTGCATGGGCCTTTCTAATATTATCTGTATCATCCCAATTTTAGTATATATGTTGCCAAAGTCAGCACATTAGGTACATTTTTAACCTTCGAAGTCTTCCAAGTCACTGCAGGCTACAGTTTTACTCTTCCAACACAACATACCACTGGTTACCATTTTTTTTCCTAGCCTTCGGTAGCAGTTACCTTACTATTTTCCCAAACTTCATTCACCACTCAGTTTCAAAGCCAATGAAACATGTTTTAAGCTTTGGTATAATAGGAACCCCCACCCACTTCAGTATGAATTTTGGGATCTGTTACCTATTTTTTGATATAAAATCAACTGCAAGTTTAGTGCCTCAGTATCACAAACACTGTATTTGCTCATATGTCTGTGAATCAATAACTTGGACTGGGTTCAGTTGGGCAGTTCTTCTATTGGTCTTGCCTGGGGTCTTTAATGCAGCTTCCATTTTCTGGCAGCTTGATGAGACTGGATGGTCTAAGGTACATTCATGAACACATCTGTTTGGTGGACTTGTCTGTCAGCCTCGAGTACTGAGGCCACCCCATATGAAGAAGCCAGGGTAGCCTTTTTGAAATGAGTCACCGTGAGAAAGATTCAGCTGACAGCCAGCACCAATGGCCAGCCATGTGAGTAGGCTCCCAGTTTACACCATCCATTTTCAGTCAAACTGTCAGAGGACTGAGACCATGTAAGCGACCTTCACGAAGACCCACAGAAGAACCATCCAGCTGAGCTCAGCCTGAAATTTTTGACCCAAAGAATGATGCACAAATAGAACGGTGATTGTCTTTAGCTCCTAAGTGTTGGGGTGTTTGTTACACAGCAATAGATAATGGATATGGCTCCATGGAAATATGGAAGCTCCCACTCCTATATTTATAAGTAGTTCCAACATGGAAAAGAAGCTCACTATTGATTCTGTGAGGCTAAAACTTACGTGAAGGTAGTAGAAAGCCAGTGAGCAAGTGGTGGCTGGTTTGAGCTAAAGTGCCTCCTCAGGGAAGCATACCCTTCCTAAATTGCTGCATTGTGGGTCTGGACCAAGGTGAGCTTGGGTTTCGAGGGCAGTTCCCTTACAGCAGGGGAAGTTACACACAGTGAAATAGACTTACAGTCACTCGTTGCTTAATGATGAGGAAAGAAGATTGTTCATTTTTTATTTATTTGGTATTAAATCACTGAATATTTTTTATATGTACAAGTCTTCTGAGACTACTTAATATACTATTTTGACCTTTCTTCTTTAAAAGCATAAAGTCATATTTTTTTCCTAAAGGTAGAAATCTGGAAGAGATTTAAATGATGATCAAAACAGCAAATCCATGAATTTTTAATGGTTTCTAAACTTGAATGGTTTCTAAACTTGGTTTCTAAAATCAGATTTTGACTCCCTGGCCTTGCACAAATTCTTATTTTTTCTTCAACTCATCTAAGATTTAATTTTATATGATGCATAGCTTTTCCTTCCAATTATATTTAACCTCTTTGTAACATTTCAAAAATATACAAATAATCTAAAGGATCATTTTAAACTTTCTTTCCCCCGGCACAGGACATACTTAAAAAATATGATTTAAACTGGGTGATGATTTTCTAGAAAAAATTTATCGCAATCACAAGGAAGGAATTGAGCAAATTGAGGGCAACATAGGGAAATGAAAATTAAGTTCACAATTCATAAGTAAATGTAAAATTAAGTTTACCTTTCTTTCTATGTAAGTCAATAAAAAGTTAGCAAATATTAGTAAAATTCCCCCAAAGGTCCCTACCCTACATAAATGCATGTGTGTGTGTACAGAAGCATTGTAATGAAACACTTAATCTCCTTTGCCCTTAACTAGAACCAGATGCCTTGGGAAGGAGGTTGAGGCGGGCTAGCTGAAGAACTTCTACTGTATTGCAAATTACGCTGAAGGGACTTTCAGAAATGAGCTACTTTTCCCCATCTCCTTTCAGCAGTTTTCTGGAGCTGGAAATGAAAAACCTGTACCCCTGACTTACTGGACCTTAGGATTTAAAAATCACCACCTTCATTTATCATTCCTTCATTGGCAGTTGTAAAGGGAACTAAGTAGTCTATTCATTTACTCAAATAGTTATTCAGCGCTACCATTTACCAGCATCATGCCAGGTAAGACCCCTGAGCCTCTAGGTGCTTTCTATATGTGTGGTGGGGGAGTGGACACATAAACAACAATCATCATGGACATGGTGTGTGATGGGTGCAGGGGACAGGGAGGGGCCTCAGGGAAGCTGGGCTGGCCAGAGGGCAGGCAGAAAGTGGTGTTAGGGCGAAGAGACAGAGGCGGTGAGAAAAGCTGTTCCCGGAAACACCCCCTAGGAGTGATTAGATTTGAAGGGTGGGTAGGAAGTGGATGAGGCCAGTCAGTGAATGTCCTTGTTTACCATTTCACTCATTTTCCAAAAAAAAAGTGTTTCATTTAAAATGTTGGTACATTTTATAAATCTCTATCTCTCAGTCTTTCTCTGCATATATCAACATACATATAATAATAAAGAGATGAGAATAAATAGAATCGATAGATAAAATATAATAGATGACAGACAGCTTATATTGATTAGACAGATAATGATAGATGATACATAGATTCAATAGATAGATAGATAGATAGATAAATAAATATATAGATAATGACCGATAATAGATTCAGTAGATGGATGGTTGGATAGACAGATAGATATTGATAGATGATAGATTCAATAGATGAATGGATGGATGGATAGATATATGATAGATACATAGATAATGATAGATGATTAGATTCAGTAGATGTCTGGTTGGATAGCTAGGTATGTGATAGACAGATAAGGATAGATGATAGATTCAGTAGATGGATGGATAGATGATAAATAGCTAGCTAGCTACACAGGTACATTCAATACATGAATGAACGGATGGATAAATGGATGAATAGATGGATGGATAGGTATAGAAAGATGATGGATAGATGAATAGATAGGTAGATAATTTTACCAGCTTTAAAAAATTTCAACAAATATCTAGCTTACCATTTTTATATTTCATATGGTTTTTTGATAATTTATATTTTTTATGGATAGTTTAAACAGCTTTTGAAGACTTCAAGCAAATATTCATTGACTTTTAGATTTTGTTTTTCTATTAGCTTTCTGAGAATGTCTAATTTATCTGCTTTCCCAGAGTCATTACAGCACTATTCACAATAGCCAGAATGTGGAGCCAACCAAAGTGTCTATCAGTGGATGAATGAGTAAAGAAAATGTGGTTTGTATACACAATGGAATGCTATTAAGTCTTAAAGAAAGAAGTGTTAGCATTTGCAACAACATGGATGAACCTGGAGGACATTATGCTAAGTGAAATAAGCCAGGCACAGAATGACTGTTCTGTGCAGGAGATGTGCAAGGGGAGAAGAAAAGACACACACACAATACCTTTAAGGGTAAACAACCTTTATCCCATGTAAATGGCAATGGAGATATAATAAGCAAGTGATATAATAAGCAAATTGATATAATAAGCAAATTGCAATGGGAAGGGGAGAGGGAAAAGATATATATATATCATACATATATACACTCATATCACGTATATCATATATATATATTTACATATACTCAACATATATAATATATATTATACCCTATATATATTATATATAATATATATTATACCCTATATATATATTATATATAATATATATTATACTCAACATATATATTATACCCAATATATATATTATATATATAATATATATACTCAACAGACTACGGATGATTCATCACCAGACTGGGAAGCAACTGCCTGGGATTCAAAGTCGGCCACCTGTCTGTGCACAGACAAGGAGTGGTCTCATGAAACTCTGGCACAGTCTGGGGCCCTAGCTCTTTTTGTAATGAGTTGTTTGGCATGAGGCCCAGTCATGAGAGCCGATCGTGACTGGGCTCAAGGGACACAAGAAAAGTCAACTTGTTTTTGCAATTATCTTTCAATAACTATTTCTCCATAACAGCACTGGATAAATGCCTCAAGGGACTCACACAACCTTTTCCGGGACTTGGTGACCATTGTTTGTGTCCATGTTCAATTGAGTTCGAATTTATGTATTTAACTTTTCCTCCGTAATGACACATACTGCATGATCTCAGATATGAAATCTTTGTATTATTTAGTTCAAGATTCTCAATGTGGGTGCTGTTGACACTTGGGGCTGGAGGAGGCTCTGTGGTGTGGCTGTACTGTGCACTTGTAGGGTGTTGAGCAGCATCCCTGGGCTCCACCCACCAGAAGCAAGGAACATCCACTCTCCAATCATAACACAAAATGTCTCCAGAGGTTGCAAATGGCTCCTGATGGTTTGAAAGTCAAAGACAGTACATGCTCAAGACTTAACATACATTTCAAAATGACTTCAAAAGAAACTCAGAAAAAATAAATCATCATCTAGGAATCAGGTGCCCACTTAGGAGCCCTTGGTGAGAGGAAAAGAGATATCTCAGCTGGGCTCAGTAGCTCACTCTTGTAATTCCAGCATGTTGGGAGGCTGAGGTGGGTGGATTACTTGAGTTCCAGAGTTCTAGACCAGCTTGGGCAACTTTGCAAAACCTGCTCTCTATAAAAAATACAAAAGTGAGCCAGGTGTGGTGGCATGTGCCTTGAGTCTCAGCTATTTGGGAGGCTGAGTCAGGAGGATTGCTTGAGCCCGGGAGTATGAGACCAGCCTGGGCTATCCATACAAAAAATAAAAATAATTAGCCAGGAATGGTGGTGCATCCCTGTAGTATCAGCTACTCAGGAGGCTGAGGTAGGAGGATTGTTTAAGGCTGGGAGGTTGAGGCTGCAGTGAGCCATGATTGCACCACTGCACTGCAGCCTGAGTGAGATCATGTCTTAAAAAACAAAAAAAAAGGAGAGGGTTCCAAGATGGCCGAACAGGAAGAGCTGCAATCTACGGCTCCCAGTGTGAGCGACGCAGAAGACAGGTAGCTTCTGCATTTCCAACTGAGGTACTGGGTTCATCTCACTGGGGCTTGTTGGACAGTGAATGAAGCCCACGGAGGGCAAGCCAAAGCAGGGTGTGCCATCACCTCACCCAGGAAGTGCAAGGGGTTGGGGAATTCCCTTTACTAGCCAAAGGAAGCTGTGACAGATGGTACCTGGAAAATCGGGACACTCCCATCCTATACTGTTCCTTTCACATGGTCTTAGCGAATGGCACACCAGGACATTATATCCCACACCTGGCTCAGAGGGTCCCACGCCCACGGAGCCTTGCACAGCAGTCTGAGATTGAACTGCAAGGTGGCAGCAAGGCTGGGGGAGGGGCGTCTGCCATTGCTGAGGCTTCAGCCAGTAAACAAAGTGGCCAGAAACCTCAAATGGGGTGGAACCCACTGCAGCTCAAGAAGGCCTGCCTCCCTCTGTAGACTCCACTGGAGGAAGGGCATAGCTGAATAAAAGGCAGCAGAAACTTCTGCAGACATAAATGTCCCTGTCTGACAGCTTTGAGGAGACTAGTGGTTCTCTCAGCATGGAGTTTGAGATCTGAGAACAGACAGACTGCCTCCTTAAGTGGATCCCTGACCCCCAAGTAGTCTAACTGGGAGACACCTCCCAGTAGGGGCTGACTGACACCTCATACAGCTGGGTGCCCCTCTAAGATGAAGCTTCCAGAGGAAGGATCAGGCAGCAACATTTGTTGTTCTGCAATATTTGCTGTTCTGCAGCCCCTGCTGATGATACCCGGGAAAACAGGGTCTGGAGTGGACCTCCAGCAAACTCAAACAGATCCGCAGCTGAGAGTCCTGACTGTTAGAAGGAAAACTAACAAACATAAAGGACATCCACACCAAAACTCCATCTCTAGGTCACCACCATCAAAGACCAAAGTTAAATAAAAACCACAAAGATTGGGAGAAAACAGAACAGAAAAGCTGAAAATTCCAAAAATCAGAGCACCTTCTTCTCCTCCAAAGGAACACAGCTCCTATCCAGCAACAGAACAAAGCTAGACAGTGAATGACTTTGATGAGTTGACATAAATAGGCCTCAGAAGATCAGTAATAACAAACTTCTCCAAGCTAAAGGAGGATGTTCGAACCCATCACAAACAGGCTAAAAATCTTGAAAAAAGATTAGACAAATGGCTAAATAAAGACCAAATCTACATCTGATTGGTGTACCTGAAAGTGACAGGGAGAGTGGACCAAGTTGGAAAACACTCTTCAGGATATTATCCAAGAGAACTTGCCCAACCTAGCATGGCAGGCCAACATTCAAATTCAGAAAATACATAGAATGCCACAAAGATACTCCTTGAGAAGAGCAACTCCAAGACACATAATTATCAGATTCTCTGAATTTGAAATGAAGGTAAAAATGTTAAGGGCAGCCAGAAGGAAAGGTTGGGTTACCCACAAAGGGATACCCATCAGACTAACAGCAGATCTCTTGGCAGAAACTCTACAAACCAGAAGAGTGGGGGCCAATATTCAACATTGTTAAAGAAAATAATTTTCAACACAGAATTTCATATTGAGCCAAACTAAGTTTCATAAGTGAAGGAGAAAAAAATCCTTTACAGACAAGCAAATACTGAGAGATTTTGTCACCACCAGGCCTGCCTTACAAGAGCTCCTGAAGGAAGCACTAAACATGGAAAGGAAAAATTGATATCAGCCACTACAAAAACATGCCAAATTTTAAAGACCATCGATGCTAGGAAGAAACTGCATCAACTAATGAGCAAAATAACAAGCTAACATCATAATGACAAGATCAAATTCACACATAACAATATTAACCTTAAATGTAAATGGGCTAAATGCCCCAATTAAAAGACAGAAACTGGCAAATTGGATAAAGAGTCAAGACCCATCAGTGTGCTGTATTCAGGAAACCCATCTCACGTGCAGAGACACACATAGGCTCAAAATAAAGGGATGGAGGAAGATCTACAAAGCAAATGGAAAACAAAAAAAGGCAGGGGTTGCAATCCTAGTCTCTGATAAAACAGACTTTAACCAACAAAGATCAAAAGAGACAAGGCCATGACAATGGTAAAGGGATCAATTCAACAAGAAGAACTAACTATCCTAAATATTAATGCATCCAACACAGGAGCACCTACAGTCATAAAGCAAGTCCTTAGAGACCTACAAAGAGACTTAGACTCCCACACAATAATAAGGGGAGGATTTAACACCCTACTATCAACATTAGACAGATCAACAAGAAAGAAAGTTAACAAGGATATCCAGGACTTGAACTCATCTAGGCACCAAGCAGACCTAATAGACATCTACAGAACTCTCCACCACAAATCAACAGAATATACATTATTCTCAGCACCACTTTGCACTTATTCCAAAACTGACCACATAATTGGAAGTAAAGCACTCCTCAGCAGATGTAAAAGAACAAAACCACACAACTACATGGAAACTGAACAACCTGCTCCTGAATGACTACTGGGTACATAACGAAATGAAGGCAGAAATAAAGATGTTCTTTGAAACCAATGAGAACAAAGACACAACATACCAGAATCTCTGGGACACATTTAAAGCAGCGTGTAGAGGGAAATTTATAGCACTAAATGCCTACAAGAGAAAGCAGGAAAGATCTAAAATTGACACCCTAACATCACAATTAAAAGAATGAGAGAAGCAAGAGCAAACACATTCAAAAGCTAGCAGAAGGCAAGAAATAACTAAGATCAGAGCAGAACTGAAGGAGATAGAGACACAAAAAATCCTTCAAAAAATCAATGAATCCAGGAGCTGTTTTTTTGAAAAACTCAAAAAAATTGATAGACTGCTGGCAAAACTAATAAAGAGAGAAGAATCAAATAGACACAATAAAAAATGATAAAGGGGATATCACTACCAATCCCACAGAAATACAAACTACCATCAGAGAATACTATAAACACCTCTATGCAAATCAACTAGAAAATCTGGAAGAAATAGATAACTTCCTGGACACATACACCCTGCCAAGACTAACCAGGAAGAAGTTGAATCCATGAATAGACCAATAACAGGCTCTGAAATTGAGGCAATAATTAATAGCCGACCAACCAAAAAAAGTCCAGGACCAGAAGGATTCACAGCTGAATTCTACCAGTGGTACAAAAGGAGCTGGTACCATTCCTTCTGAAACTATTCCAATCAACAGAAAAAGAGGGAATCCTCCCTAATTCATTTTATGAGGCCAGCATCATCCTGATACCAAAGCCGGGCAGAGACACAACACAAAAAGAGAATTTTAGACCAATATCCCTGATAAACATTGATGCAAGAATCCTCAATAAAATACTGGCAAACTGAATCCAGCAGCACATCAAAAAGCTTATCCACCATGATCAAGTGGGCTTCATCCTTGGGATGCAAGGCTGGTTCAGCGTACACAAATCAATAAATGTAATCCAGCATATAAACAGAACCAAAAACAAAAACCATGTGATTATCTCAACAGATGCAGAAAAGGCCTTTGACAAAATTCAACAGCCCTTCATGCTAAAAACTCTCAATAAATTAGGTATTGATGGGACATATCTCAAAATAATAAGAGCTATTTATGACCAATAATAAGAGCCAATATCATACTGAATGGGCAAAAACTGGAAGCATTCCCTTTGAAAACTGGCACAAGAGAGGGATGCCCTCTCTCACCACTTCTATTCAACATAGTGTTGGAAATTCTGGCCAGGGCAATCAGGTAGGAGAAAGAAATAAAGGGTATTCAATTAGGAAAAGAGGAAGTCAAATTGTCCTTGTTTGCAAATGACATGATTGCATATCTAGAAAACCCCATCATCTCAGCCCAAAATCTCCTTAAGCTGATAAGCAACTTCAGCAGTCTCAGGATGAAAAATCAATGAGCAAAAATCACAAGCATTCTTATACACCAATAACAGACAGCCAAATCATGAGTGAACTCCCATTCACAATTGCTTCAAAGAGAATAAAATACCCAGGAATCCAACTTACAAGGGATGTGAAGGACCTCTTCAAGGAGCACTATAAACCACTGCTCAGGGAAATAAAAGAGGACACAAACAAATGGAAAAACATTCCATGCTCATCAATAGGAAGAATCAATATTGTGAAAATGGCCATACTGCCCAAGGTAATTTATAGATTCAATGCCATCCCCATCAAGCTACCAATGACTTTCTTCACAGAATTGGAAAAAAACTACTTTAAAGTTTATATGGAACCAGAAAAGAGCCCTCATTGCCAAGACAATCCTAAGCCAAAAGAACAAACCTGGAGGCATCGCACTACCTGACTTCAAATCATACTACAAGGCTACAGTAACCAAAACAGCATGGTACTGGTAGCAAAACGAAGATATAGACCAATGGAACAGAACAGAGCCCTCAGAATTAATACCACAACAGCCATGTGATCTTTGAGAAACCTGACAAAAACAAGAAATGCCAAAAAGATTCCCTATTTAATAAATGGCGCTGGGAAAACTGGCTAGCCATATGTAGAAAGCTGAAACTGGATCCCTTCCTTACACATTACATAAAAATTAATTCAAGATGGATTAAAGACTTAAATGTTGGACCTAAAACCATAAAAACCCTAGAAGAAAACCTAGGCAATACCATTCAGGACATAGGCATGGGGAAGGACTACATGACGAAAACACCAAAAGCATTGGCAACAAAAGCCAAAATAGACAAATGGGATCTAAATAAACTAAAGAGCTTCTGCACAGCAAAAGAAACTATCATCAGAGTGAACAGGCAACCTTCAGAATAGGAGAAAATTTTTGCACTCTACCCATCTGACAAAGGGCTAATATCCAGAATCTACAAAGAACTTAAACAAATTTACAAGAAAAAATCAAACAACCCCATCAAAAAGTGGGCGAAGGATATGAACAGACACCTCTCAAAAGAATACATTTATGCAGCCAACAGACACATCAAAAAATGCTCATCATCACTGGCCATCAGAGAAATGCAAATCAAAATCACAATGACGTACCATCTCACATTAGTTAGAATGGTGATCATTAAAAAGACAGGAAACAACAGGTGCTGGAGAGGATGTGGAGAAATAGGAACACTTTTACACTGTTGGTGGGACTGTAAACTAGTTCAACCATTGTGGAAGACAGTGTGGTGATTCCTCAAGGATCTAGAACTAGAAATACCATTTGACTCAGCCATCCCATTACTAGGTATATACCCAAAGGATTATAAATCATGCTGCTATAAAGACACATGCACTTGTATGTTTATTGTGGCACTACTCACAATAGCAAAGACTTGGAACCAACCCAAATGTCCATCAGTGATAGACTGGATTAAGAAAATGTGGCACATATACACCATGGAATACTATGCAGCCATAAAAAAGGATGAGTTCATGTCTTTTGTAGGGACATGGATGAAGCTGGAAACCATCATCCTGAGCAAACTATCGCAAGGACAGAAAACCAAATACCACATGTTCTCAGTCATAGGTGGGAATTGAACAATGAGAACACCTGGACACAGGAAAGCGAACATCACACACCAGGACCTGTCATAGGGTGGGGGCGGGGGGAGGGATAACATTAGGAGAAATACCTAATGTAAATGATGAGTTAATGAGTGCAGCACACCAACATGGCACATGTATACATATGTAACAAACCTGCACATTGTGCACATGTACCCTAGAACTTAAAGTGTATATATAAAAAAAAGTATGTCCATCCATGCACAGACCTTGCTGTATTTATCACATTTATCATGTTGATTTTATGGATGAACATCTTCCTTTAGTTCCCTGTCCAATCCAGCTGGATTTCATTCAGCCCTCCTTGGTTAGCACAATAAGCACGCTTTTGTCAGCGGTGTTGCAACACAAGTGACTACATCTTGAATAGGAGCTGAATAAAATAAGGCTGAGATCTATTGTGCTGCATTCCCAAGAGTTACGGCATCCTTAGTCACAGGATGTGATAGGAACTTAGTACAAGATTACAAGATACAACGTGACAAAGACCTCGCTGATAAAACAGTTTGCAGTAAAGAAGTCAGCCAAATCCCACCAAAACCAAGATGGTGACAAGAGTAACCTCTGGTCATTGTAACTGCTCATTATACATTCATAATGCATTAGCTGCTAAAAGTCACTGCCACAAGAGCCAGGACAGTTTACAGATGTCATGACTACCTCAGGAAGTCACCCTCTATGGTCTAAAAAGGGGAGGAACCCTCAGAATTACCTACCCCTTTCCTGGAAAACTCATGACTAATTCACCCCTTGTTTAGCATATAATCAATAAATAACCATAAACATAGGCAGCCAGCAGCCTATGCTGCTGCTTTGCCTATGAAGCAGCTATTCTTTATTCCTTTACTTTCTTAATATACTTCCTTTCATTTTACTCTGTGGACTCGCCCTGAATTCTCTCTTGCACGAGATCCAACAACCCTCTCTTGAGGTTTGGACTGGGACCCCTTTCTGGTAAGGCTTTCACTTTACATTCCTGCCATCCCTGGAGGGAGGAGGTCCTGTCTTCGCTGGAAAGCCATGCGGTGCTGGACTGTGGTTATTCGCTGTGGTTTATCTGAACCCAAAAAGAAAAAACAATTTTCCTGGGGCCACTCCTGGCCTGGAAAGATTGACCTTATATCAGGCTGCCTTAATCCCTCCCTTATTTCCACATTGTAGTCTGAAATTATATCAAGTGTAGAGGGAAGTGAATATCTTAGGACAGAGGCTTGAACTGGGAAAATGGATGTTATCTTCGTAATGTAAAGAAAAATAATGGGATGCTACAACAAAGAACCCAACCTCGCTTGGTGAGGAGACATTTGAGAAAGAATAGACATGCATTGCAGTTTTAGACTAGAACAGTGGTTCTTTTTAAACATTATTTTATTATTTATTATTTTTAGAGACGAGGTCTTGTTCTGTTGCCCACACTAGAGTACAGTGGTGTGATCATAGCTCGCCGCAGCCTTCAAATCCCAGGCTCAAGCGATCCTCCTGCCTCAGCCTCCTGAGTAGTTGGGACTACAGGTGTCTGCCACCATGCCCAGCTCATTTTTAAAAGTTGTTTGTCGGATGGGTGCAGTGGCTCACGCCTGTAATCCCAGCACTTTGGGAGGTGGAGGAGGGTGGATCATGAGGTCAGGAGATTGAGACCATCGTGACTAACATGGTGGAACCCCATTTCTACTAAAAACACAAAAAACTAGCTGGGCATGGTCACGGGCACCTGTAGTCCCAGCTACTCAGGAGGCTGAGGCAGGAGAATGGTGTAAACCCAGGGGGACGGGGGGGCGGTGGAGCTTTCAGTGAGCCAAGATTGCACCACTGCACTCCAGCCTGGGTGACAGAGTGAAACTCCATCTCAAAACAAGAAAAAAAAATTGTTTTTTAATGTGGTCTCACTATGTTGCCCAGCCTGGTTGTCCCCAATTCCTGGCTTCAAGCAGTCCTCCTGCCTCTGCCTCCCAAAGTGCTGGGCTTATAGGCATAAGCCACCATACCTGGCTTAAATTTTATTTTTAATCATCATGGATGCATAATAGTTGTACTTATTTACAGGGTATATATGATATTTTGACACAAGCTTACAATGTGTAATAATCAAATTTGGGTAATTGGGGTATCTATGCCTTCAAGCCTTTTACCATTTGTTTGTATTAGGAACATTGCAATTCCACTCTCTTATTTTAAAATATACAATGAATTATTGTTAACTATAGTCTCCCTGTTGTTGTACCAAATACTATACCTTTTTGCTTCTATCCAACTGTATTTTTGCGTTCATTAACTATCCCCACTCTATCGCCTCTTCCTCAATACTCTTCCCAGCCTCTGGTAACCACCATTCTACTTTATCTCCATGAGTGCAAGTTTTCAACATTTTTACCTGCCACGTTTGAGTGAGAACATGTGAAATTTTGTATCAGGAGTTCTTTGATTTTTTTTTTAATTTGAATAGCTTTAGGGGTACACGTGGTTTTTGGTTATGTGGATGAGTGAAGTTTAGGATGTTAGTGCACCCATCACCTGGGTGTTGTACATGGTACCTAACAGGTAGTCCTTCATCCCTCACCCCACTCACACCTTCCTACTTTGGAGTCTCCAATGTCCGTTACACTACTGTGTACACCTTTGCATACCCACAACTTAGCTCCCACATCTTTTTTTGAAGCAGGGTCTCACTCTGTCACCCAGCATGGATTGCAGTGGCATGATCATGGCTCACTGCACCTTCAACATTCTGGGCTCAAGCAATCCACCCACCTCAGCCTTCTGAGTAGCTAGGACCACAGGTGCACACCACCACTCCCAGCTAATATTTTCTATTTTCTGTAGAGATGGGAACTTACTACATTGCCCAGGCTGTTCTTGAACTCCTGGTTTCAAGTGATCCTCCTGCCTCAGCCTCCCAAAGTGCTGGCATTACAGGCATGAGCCACCGTGCCCTACCAGCTCCCACTTTTGTAAGTGAAAACATGTGGTATTTGGTTTTCTACTCCTTAGTTCCTTCACTTAGAATAATGGCTTCCAGTTTCATCCAAGTTGTGGCAAAATATATTATTTCATTATTTTTTTACATCAGGATATTTTAACACGGGTCATTTGTCCCCTAAGTAACATGTCTGGAGATATTTTGGTTGTCACAGCTGGGAATAGGTGCTATTGGCATTGGGTGGGTGGAGCCCAGGGACGCTGCTCAATACCCTACAGTGCACAGGACACCCCACCACAGACAGTCGTTCAGCCCTGAATTACCCAAAATGCTCAGATTAAGAAACCCTGTACTAGGCCAGGTACAGTGGCTCACACCTGTAATCCCAGCACTTCAGGAAACTGAGTCAGGAGAATCACTTACTATCAGGAGTTCGAGATCACCCTGGCCAACATGGCGAAATCCCATGTGTACTAAAAATACAAAAATTAGCCAAATGTGGTGGTAGGTGCCTGTTGTCCCAGCTACTTGGGAGTCTGATGCAGGAGAATCACTTGAACCCAGGAGGTGGAGGTTGCAGTGAGCCTAGAACATGCCACTGCACTCCAGCCAGACTCCATCTCGAAAAACAAAAAAAACAACAACCACTCCCCAACCTGAAAAAAAAACCCCACAAAATCAGTGCAGATGCACACACACACAAGCACACACATCCATCTAAAACATTCAGTAATTAAGTTGCTTGGGGCAAAATGACATCATTTATGAAACACTTGCAACCCATTTATCTGAGAAAGCCTATTTTGACTTAGAAATCCTCTTTGAAAAATTTGTCCAGTCTTATTGAGGTATGATTGCAAAATTAAAACTCTATAAAGTTGTACAATATGATGTTATTTTGCCATAGGTGTGCATTATGGGAAGATGATCTCAATCAACATATCCATTACCCCACAGTTACTTTTTTTTTTCTTTTGAAATAGTGTTTCACTCTGTTACCCAGGCTGGAGTGCTATTGCGTGATTTCACTCACTGCAACCTCTGCCATTCAGGTTCAAGTGATTATCCTGCCTCAGCCTACTGAGTAGCTGGGATTACAGGTGCCTGCCACCATGCCCAGCTTGTTTTTTGTATTTTTAATAGAGATGGAGTTCCGCCATGTTGGCCAGACTGGTCTCAAGCTCCTGATCTCAGGTGATCCACCCACCTCAGCCTCCCAAAGTGCTGGGATTACAGGCATGAGCCACCGTGCCTGGCCTACCTAATTTTTTTTCTTTCTGTGTGGTGAGAACATTTGCAATCTACTCTTTCACAAATTTCAAATATGCAATACAATATTGTTAACTATAGTCACCATGCTGTATATTAGGTGTCCAAAACTTATTCAACTTATATCTGCACGTTTGTACCTTTTGACGAACATCATCCCAGTTTTCCTAGCCCCCAACCCCTGGGAATCATTGTTCTGTTCCCTGTTTCTCTGGATATCTGCATGAGAAAAAATAAAATTGGACTCCTGCCTTACTTCATACAAAAAAAAGAAAACCAACTCAAAATGAACGTAAGACTTAAAGGTAAAACCTAAAGGAATAAAAATCCTAGAAGAAAACGTAGAGGATAAATGCCTTGACATAGATTGGCAAGGATTGTTTGAATATCATGCCAACAGCATGGACAATAAAAGCAAAAATAAATAAGTGAACTACATCAAACTAAAAAGCTTCTGCACAGCCCAGAAAAGAGTCAACAAAATGAAAAGGTAGATTGAGGATTGGGAGAAAATATTTGCAAACCACATATCAGATAAAGGGTTCATATCTAAAACATATAAGGAACTCATACAACTCAATAGGCAAAAATGAACAAATGAAAAACTCAAACAACCAGTTAAAAATGGGCAAAATACTTAAATAGATATTTTACCAAAGAAGACATAAAAATGTGGCCGAGAGATGTAGAAAAAGGTGCCCAACATCACTAATTGTAATGGAAATGCAAATCAAAACCACCACTGGCGCTGAGCGTGGTGGCTCACGCTTGTAATCCTAGCACTTTGGGAGGCTGAGGTGAGTGGATCATCTGAGATCAGGAGTTCAAGACCAGCCTGGCCAACATGATGAAACCCCATCTCTACTAAAAATACAAAAATTAGCCAGGTATGGTGGCATGTGCCTGTAGTCCCAGCTACTCCAGAGGCTGAGGCAGGAGAATCGCTTCAACCCAGGAGGTGGAGGTTGCAGTGAGCCAAGACCATGCCACTGTGCTCCATCCAGCCTAGGAAACAGAGCAAGACTCTATCTCAAAAAAACAAAACAAACAAACAAACAAAAAACCACCATGGGATAGTGTTAGGATCCTAACCACCTGTTAGGATGGCTAGTATCAAACAGTGAAGAGAAATTCTCTTACATGTAAGAAGGAAAAAGTGATCTGTGTTTGTCTTGCAGATGGAGTGAGGTGTGTCCTCAACAAATAGGAAGGTGTTTGTTTTCTTGTCTCTGTAGGAATGCATTTATGCTAACATCCAGTTATACAAGTAGAAAAACTAAATGTACCTGTTGTCATGACGATTGATTGAGTGGATTAAATTTAGAACTGAAATACGTCTCACTATAAATGACAAACAACTACAAAACACTGGGTAACTGAATTTTTGTTATGAGTTTTTTTTTTTCTGTTTTCAATCAAGACATTTGCTTAGGCTGTTTTCCCTATGAGGTAGCTTTTTATAAAGGACAGAAAGTAGCAGATATATAGGATAAAAAAGTCCAAAGATCTAATGCATAACCTGAGGACTATAGTTAATAATATTGTGTTGTATTCACAATTTGCCATTGCACAATTATGGAACCAGCCCAAATGTTCATCAATCAATGAAGTGGATAAATGAACTGTGATTATATATATATATATAGAGAGAGAGAGAGAGAGAGAGATGGGGTTTCACGACGTTGGTCAGGCTGGTCTTGAACTCCTGATCTCACGTGATCCACTCACCTCAGCCGCCCAAAGTGCTGGGATTACAACCATGAGCCACCATGCGCAAATATATATATATGATGGAATACTACTCAGCCATGAAAATGAATGAATTAATGTGATTCTCAGCAACCTGGGTGGGATTGGAGACCATTATTCTAAATGAAGTAACTCAGGAATGGAAAATCAAACATTGTATATTCTCACTCATAAGTGGGAGATAAGCTATGAGGATACAAAGGTGTAAGAATGACACAAAGGACTTCGGGAACTCAGAGGGAAAGGGTGGGAAGGGGTGAGGGATAAAAGGCTACAAATTCAGTTCAGTGTATACTGTTTAGGTGACGGATGCACCAAAATTTTACAAATCAACACTGAAGAAGTTACTCATGTAACTAAATACCACCTATTCCCCAATAACCTATGGAAATACAAACTAAAACAAATTTTAAAAAAGCAAAATGATATAGTGTGTTGTATACAAGATTTTTGCTAAATAAGTAGATCATAGCTGCTCTGGCTACAGAGGAGAAAAAAGATTTGTAACTATGTGAGATGGTATATATGTTAATTTTTCACTATAGTAACTATTTTACTATATATGTATCTCATAAAGTCCTGCTGCACATCTTAAATGTACACAATAAAATCTATTTAAAAAGTTACAGGGCTGGGCATGGTGTCTCATCCCTGTAATCCCAGCACCTTGGGAGGACGAGGTGGATCACTTGACCTCAGGAGTTGCAAATCACCTTGGGCATTATAGCAAGACGCTATCTCTACAGAAACTAATAAGAAAAAAATTAGCCAGGTGTGGAGGTGCATGTCTGTAGTCCCAGCTACTTGGGAGGCTGAAGTGGGAGGGTCACCCGAGCCCAGGAGTTCAAGGCTGCAATGAGCTGTGATTGTGCTACTTCACTCCAGCCTGGGAGACAGAGGGAGACCCTGTCTCTAAAGTACACAAATAAACAAATAAAATAAAAATTACAAGTTAGACAACTAAACTGTCTTTTTCTTTCCCTCTTGGCTGGCCACCCATTTAAAATGCAGCACTTGAAGAAATAAATATGCATCTCTGGCCACTGTTTTTGGAAAGTTTTGTTTTCATTGAAATTTGGTTAATTTTATTTAAAGTAAAACAATGAAATCAAAGACATAAGAGAGTTTCAAACATGCTTATTTCTGCATTGCTGTTTTACAAAAACATATGATCGCAATTCCAGACACCTGCCTTGAAATCTTTATAGACATTTCTCGTTGTTATTGCTATTGTTTGGCTTCTCTTGAAATGTCTTTAAAAAACCCATTTATCCATCAGATAATCATAGGTGGGGAGATATGTGTATTTTTCTGTTTCCTTAACTTCAAATGCTGCCTGAAAATGATGACTGTTTGGCAAGCCTAAGTTCCAACATTCCATTTCCCGGCATTATGTAACACAAAATCAGGTTTCATAACGTTTTCTTAGATCTGTTTCCCTCTGTTTTGTAAGATTTCAAGAGTCCTATAATTTATTATGTGGCTGGTGGAAGAAAAATATGCACAGAATAGATTGGTGTGTATAACCTAAACATTTAGTGCTGTCTCGACAACAATTAAATCTACAGAGATGCTTTGGGGAAGTAGGCAGAATGTCCTACTACTGGGAATTTTATAAGATGAGAGCCTCCCAGTTTCTTTTAATTGCACTGAGTGGGTGAATCCATCAGGAAAAGAAAGAAAGAAAGAAAGAAACATGAAAAAGAGCCCAGATCAAAAGCAATGCTGTTTTTTCCATCCTCATTAAATCAAAGCATGTGGTGACAACAGATTGTCTGAAGTCAGCGGGCACCCAACCAGGAGGCTGGTATGTTTTCCTGGTAAAACACAACCAGAAGATAATGGCTTCTAGCTTCATCCATGTTCCTGCAAAGGACATGATCTCATTATTTTTATAGCTGCATAATATTTCATGGTGCATATAGACCACATTTTCTTTATCCAGTCTATCATTGATGGGCATTTGGGTTGATTCCATGTCTTTGCTATGGTGCATAGTGCTGCAATGAACATATGCATGCATGCATCTTTATAATAGAATAATTTATATTCCTTTGGGTATATACCCAGTAATAGATATTACTGAGATTGCTGGATTAAATGGTATTTCTGGTTCTAGATCCTTGAGGAATTGCCACACTGTCTTCCACAATGGTTGAACTAATTTACATTCCCACCAACAGTGTAAAAGCATTCCTGTTTCTCCACAGCCTCATCAGCGTCTGTTGTTTCTTGACCCTGGGGGAGGGAAACAAACACACTGGGGTCTGTGGTGGGTAGGGAATAAGAGCCTCAGGAAAAATAGCTAATGTATGCTGGGCTTAATACCTAGGTGATGGGTTGATAGGTGCGGGAAACCTCCATTGCACACGTCTACCTATGTAACAAAGTTGCACATCCTGCACATGTATCCCAGAACTTAAAATAAAATAAAATTAGAAACATCTAGGACATTTTCAGGAGATGAATGGCGAAGAAACTTTATGGATAATGACAAGAAAGTTTCAGGGCTAAGTACAAAACACACATGAATTATACCCTGGACTTTGTTTCTGTATTGGTACTTCACCACTGTCATGGATGGTATATGCTGGCATGCTTGAAATTTAGTCTTTGAATAAATGTTTTTATTAGTGCTGAGAAAACACAACTGGTGCTTCTTTTCCAATAACTTTTTTTTTTTTTGAAACGGAGTTCTCTCTCTGTCGCCCAGGCTGGAGTGCAGTGGCAGGATCTGGGCTCACTGCAAGCTCTGCCTCCTGGGTTCACGCCATTCTCCTTCCTCAGCCTCCCAAGTAGCTGGGACTACAGGCGCCTGCCACAACACCCGGCTAATTTTTTTGTATTTTTAGTAGAGATGGGGTTTCACCATGTTAGCCAGGATGGTCTCGATCTCCTGACCTCGTGATCCACCTGCCTCGGCCTCCCAAAGTGCTGGGATTACAGGCGTGAGCCACCGCGCCCAGATGACCTTTTTTTTTTTTTTTTTTTTTAAAGAAATGGAGTTCTGTTATATGCTTCTATGTGGATGAGCCTTGAAGAGGCTATGCTCAGTGAAAGAAGCCAGACACAAAAGGCCACACAGTGTAGGATTCCACTTACAGGAACTTTTCAGAGGAGGCAAGCCTATAAAGCCAGCAGGCAGATTGGTGTCTTCCAGGGGCTGGGAGGGGGGAGAAGAGGGAGTGGCTACTTGGTGGGTCCAAGGTTGTTTTTAGAGTGATAAAAGTGTCTTGGAACCAGATAGCAGTGGCAGTTGCACAACCCTGTGAAGACACTAAATGTCACTGAAGAGTTCACTTTAAAATGGTCATTTTTACATTAGGGGCATTTCAATTTGATTGAAAAACAAATCTGGCTGAGCGCAGTGGCTCATGCCTGTAATCCCAGCACCTTGGAAGGCTGAGGTGGATAGATCACTTGAGGTCAGGAGTTCGAGACCAGCCTGGCCAACAAGGAGAAACCCCCATCTCAACTAAAAATACAAAAAAATCCAGGTGTGGTGGCAGGAGCCTGTAGTCCTGGCTACTTGGGAGGCTGGAGCAAGAGAATCTCTTGAACCTGGGAAGTGGAGGTTGCAGTGAGCCAAGATAGCGCCACTGCACTCTGGCCTGGGTGATAGAACAAGGCCCAGTCTTCAAAACAAAACAAAACAAAAAGTGGGGAATTCAGGCACAGATGGGGTTTAGATACTCGTAGAGGGGGACATGATAGGAAATATGATTCTGGGAAGGAATTCCTTCCTTCCTTCCTTCCTTCCTTCCTTCCTTCCTTCCTTCCTTATTTCCTTCCTTCCTTCCTTCCTTCCTTATTTCCTTCCTTCCTTCCTCCCACCTTTCCTCCCTCCCTCCTTTCTTTCTCTTTCCTTCCTTCCTTCCTTCCTTCCTTCCTTCCTTCCTTATTTCCTTCCTTCCTTCCTCCCACCTTTCCTCCCTCCCTCCTTTCTTTCTCTTTCCTTCCTTCCTTCCTTCCTTCCTTCCTTCCTTCCTTCCTTCCTTCCTTCCTTCCTCCCTCCCTCCCACCTCCCTCCCTCCTTCCTTTCTCTCTCTCTCTCTTTCTTTCTCTTTCCCCTAGGGTCACACACTTCCAACTAATTTAATTTTGGAGGGTCTCAAGTTATATCAGAAAAAGGCATGTTTATCCTTTAAAGAAGGCAACAAGAGTTTCTCTCTCTGTCTGACTTTATGCCTCCACAATTTCACCAAGACAGAGATTTTTATTGGGTGAGCACATATACTTAAAAGAATTACTTGAGACAAAAATGAAGAACTTCATGGAGAGTTGAGGGTCTTGGAGCAGAGTGACTCTTGGTGAACTCCACCTTTCCCATCTTCCAAAAAAACCCAAAAAACAATTCACTCTGATATCTATTAATACCTCTGAATTGATCATCTACAGTAATCAAAGCATTCAGGCCATAAAAGCTGGTGTCCATGTTAGGGGTTCTGCATTGTAAACTGCAGTACACATTGAGAAAATATCATCATCTCTAAACATTTGTTTCTCCGGGCTGATGAAAGAGTGAAGATGTCTGAAGAATAAAAAGGATGACTGTGTGGAAACATGCCCTGCCAACTTGATAAATTCACCAATGATCACAATTGAGTGTCTCATGTAATGAAGGTTGGCTAATTAAAGAATACCAATGTGCCCTACAGGCATGCTTTGGATTAGCATCCACTTCTGTAAGCCAGGTTGTTTGAGAACAGATGAGTTAACTCTGCAGCCAGAAGATTAATGTGGGATTTTGCTCAGGGTTATTTCACTGAGACACAGAAGATGGCAACAAGATCTACGCAATCTTGCCATAAGGTCAGCACGTGGATGTGTCTCAGCAAATCCTTTAGAAGAATGCAGAACTATCTGACCAGGTTTCTGGAAACATCCAGCTCCTCGTCCTGCCTGTAGAATCCTGTGCCTTGCAAGGCTGTTAGCAAGGAAGCACTCCCTCTCCTTGAGCTAATGATGGCTCTTAAGGAAGGGAGGGAGGGGAGAAGGGAGGGAGGGAGGGGAGAAGGGAGGGAGGGAGGGGAGAAGGGAGGGAGGGAGGGAGGGAAGGAGGAATCTTTCTATGCACATGAAGATATATCATTTCTAAGGTACCTAGCCTCTAAGGCCATCAATATCACTGCTTTCCAAAAACAAATAATAACATCACTATCCAACTTATAAAAGTCCTATTCAGTATAAGTCTGAGAACTTTCTGGAACACATTGAGTTGAAAAGCCAAACATAATGCAAATAAATTGACCACAAGCTCTTGCTTAAAACTGTAGTCCTCCTTTAAATGTCAGTGTTGCTGATCTTCCTTCTGGCTGTTGTGCTAGTTTTTTCAATTAGCAAACCTGCTACTTATTATTTTTACTACTGTTGTTTTTTAGGAGGGAAGAATTTAGGAAGAAATGCTGGATTTTTTTCACATAGGGTACACAAAAGCTTATTTCACTAAAATTTCAAAGTGTACGTTTCATACCTATATTTATATGTATATTTAAGTTTGATATAAAAACATGAAAATGGTTATTTTTATTTTTTATTTTTAATTTTTTGAGACAGTCTCATTCTGTTGCCCAGGCTGGAGTACAGTGGCATGATCATAACTCACTGCAGCCTCAAACTCTGGGGTTCAAGCAATCCTCCTACCTCAGGCTCCTGAGTAACTGGGACTACAGGTGTATGTCACCATGCCCATTTAATTTTTAAAAGTATTTGTAGATACATGGTCTTGCTGTGTTGCCCAGACTGATCTTCAACCTTTGGCCTCAAACAATCCTCTCACCTCAGCCTCTCAAAATGCTGGGATTATAGGCATGAACCATTGTGACTCTTTTGTAAAAAAAATTTATTTTTTATTTTTTAGACAGGGTCTCATTCTGTCATCCAGGTTGGAGTGCAGTGGCTCAATCTCAGCTCACTGTAACCTCTGCCTCCTGGACCCAAGCAATCCTCCTACCTCAGCTTCCCAAGTAGCTAGGACCACAGGTGTGTGTCATCATGCCTGGCTAATTTTTTGTATTTTTGGTAGAGATGGGGTTTCACCATGTTGCCCAAGCTGGTCTCAAATTCTTGACCTCAAGTGATTTGCCCACCTTGGCCTCCCAAAGTGCTCAGATAACAGGCATGAGCCACCACGCTTGGCCGTGTATCTCTTTTATAAGGGTGCTAATCCCATTTGTGAGTCTCCACCCTCATGACCTCATCACCTCCCAAAGGCCCCACCTTCCACCATCATCATGTTGAAGGTTCTAGCTTAATACATTAATTTTGGGAGGACACAGACATTCAGACCATGACACTAAGGCTGCCATAAGAAAGTGTCACCAACAAAGTGCCGAATCACAGACTTCTGTGGCCACAAATAACATGGGAAAGGGTCTTCTGCTCCTTGTGGGTCCTTCTCCTGCCATCCTCACCCTGGTGCACAGACAGTCCTATGGCCAACCTCTGCTCATTCTCTCCCTTGTCTGTTTCCATGGGATCCTTCTGGGACAATGACGAAAGGTGAAGCTTCAGTTGTTCATAGACTTCCCATATCTCATTTACATCCCTGGTCAATAGTAAGACACAGCATCTGTCAGGACCAACCAAGGAGGCAGAGGTCAACATGGTGGACAAACAACCTGACTGATGAGAACAGTGTAACCCCACAGGGGATGATTTAAAGCCTCGCCACCCCAAGACAGTGTTGGCCACTTCATTGGGTACAGTGGGGTCTACATGACCTACCACACAGAATCCTAAATCCCTGCACTGGACATGAATCCTGCTGCTGGCCACTAGGTACTGAATTTTTAGGGTGAGTGTTTGGAGATGGCTAGAATGATGGGGAAATCCAGTGAAGATGCCTGTCTATGTCTTGGTATACACAAAAATATTACTGCTATGGAGAATTTCTAGTTCATTGTTTTTTGAGACAGGGTCTCATTCTGTTGCTTAGGCTGGAGTGCAGTAGTGCAATCACGGCTCACTGCACCTTAACCTCCTGGGCTCAAGGGATCCTCCCACCTCAGCCTCCTGAATAGTTGGGAACACAGGCATGTACTACCACATGCCTGAGTAATTTTTAAATTTTTATTGTAGAGATGAGTTCTCATTGTGTTGCCCAGGCTGGTCTCAAACACCTGGGCTTGAAGAATCCTCCAATCTTGGACTCCTGAAGTGCTGGGATTACAGGACTGAGGCAATCAGCCTCACTAATTTTTTTTTAAATCTTAAGGGAGGAGATGCCGTAATCACTTCTAATTCCAACCCCCTGGGGTGAGCCAGTCCCCATAATCTTGGACTTGGAGATGAGATCTGCTCCAGTGCCATAGATAATCCCTGAGCTATTTGCAATTATAAGGTTGAGAAGAAACTTGGAGCTCTGAATACCATAAAAATAGTAGCTGCAAATCAGAAACAGGTTCTCATTCGTGCCTGACCACATGGAGATGCAATTTGTAGGTTTCATCATGGACCCAAGACCTAGGATTCTACCTTTTCACAGACTGGGAAGACTCCATTGCTACATCTGTGTCCAGATATAATGAACACAAAAGTCACTTCCCAGCTGGACATGAATGTCCCAGTGCTGAATTCCTCCCCGGCAGTGATCTTGTAACCTCACTCAAATAGCTTAAAAAAGAGACAGCTGTCATGTCTTCACCCTGGTCCTTCTTATCACCACAACATCTATATTATCTCTGAAATCTTACATTTCACTGCAGTCAGCATCTGACCATAATACTTTAGCTTTAGCCCTCTCTCCCCAAGACCCTCATAATCCTTCCCCATCTCTTTGATCTTAGTCTACTATCTCCACCTGACTTTCTTCTTTTCTTTGATGCCTCAGGCCAGTACCAACCCTTAGGCTACAAGCCTGAAACAACTCTGCAAAAGACATTGTCTTGAGGCTACCTCTGGGCTCTGATCAATTACTTGCTGATTGGTATGATTTGGTTGTGTCCCCACCCAAATCTTGAATTGTAGCTCCCATAATTCCCATGAGTTCTGGGAGGGACCTATTGGGAGGTAATTGAATCATGGGGGCAGGGCTTTCTCATGCTGTTCTAGTGATAGTGAATAAGTCTCAGGAGATCCAATGGTTTTATAAAGGGGAGTTTTCTTGCACACTCTTTCCTGTCTGCTGCCATGTAAGATGTACCTTTACTCCTCATTCACCTTCTGCCATAATCATGAGGCCTCCCCAGCCATGTCAAACTGTGAGTCCATTAAAACTCTTTCCTTTATAAATTATCCAACCTTGGGTAAGTCTTTATTGGCAGCATGAGAACAGATTAATACCCTCATCACTGGTGGTGCCTCACCCTGCCAGGTCTGTAAGCTGCCTGGGAACTGTGTCTGCACCCATGAATAGTTCTTGCCCACATGTCAGATTCAGGAGTTGCAAACCCTTGCAAGTCATTTTTGCCTCCTCTCTGCCCCGCGATTTTCTTCCCCCAAACAACTTACTCTCTAGGTCTTAAAGGAAATTTCAGCCTTCCACGATTATCTCACACATGAATTCCTATCTTACACCCCTATGACACATCTCCCTTGAGGTTTTCTTCTGACTGGTACTTCCTTGTAGTTCAATCCCTACAGAATTCCTTGGGTAATTACAAAATTACAAACGTAAGTGTGCCATGCTCTTAAATAAAATTCTTTCTAATCACATCCCATCATTTAGAGCAGGAATTGGCACACTTTTCTATTTTTGTTTTTTAACTGGCCAAATGTCTTTGGCTTAGTGGGGCATCCGGTCTCCATGGCATCTACTCAACTCCACCACTGGGTTGAAAATACACCCACAGAAAATATGTAAATGAATGTTTTATTGGCTGTGTGCCAATAAAACATTTTTTACAAAAACAGATGATGGGTCGAGTTTGGCCAGTGGACCCTAGTTTGTCAAGCTCTGATTTAGAGGATAAAAAACAAATTTTAAAACACGGTGCAAGGGGCCGGGCATGGTGGCTTATGCCTGTAATCCCAGCACATTGGGAGGCCGAGGCGGGTGGATCATGAGGTCAGGAGCTGGAGACCATCCTGGCCAACATAGTGAAATCCCATCTCTATTAAAAATACAAAAATTAGCTGGGTGTGGTGTTGCATGCCTGTAATCCTAGCTACTTGAGAGGCTGAAGCAGGAGAATAGCTTGAATCAGGGAGTTGGAGGTTGCAGTGAGCTGAGATCCTGCCACTGCACTCCAGCCTGGCAACAGAGCAAGACTCCGTCTCAAAAACAAACAAACATACAAACAAACAAAAACGTAGTGGAAGGGCGATGCTCTCTCTTGCTGTGCATTCTGATGCTCACTTCTAGTGCCTGAATTCCTTCTCTCTCCATCAGCATATGCCAAGCAGCTGCTAGTGACTTGTGAATACCATTTCAGCATGAAACATGCTTTGTCAAGAACAGGCACTGTGATGGGCTGAACTGTATCCTCCTCAAATCCATATGTTGAAATCCTAACATGTAGGATCTCAGAATGTGACTATATTTGGAGATGGGGTCTTTAAAGAGGTGACAAAGGTAAAACAAGGTCAGTAGAATGGCCCTTGATCCAATAGGACTGGAGTCCTTATAAGAACAGGAGATGAGGACACAGACATCATCTGTGCATGAGGACACAGGTAAAAGACCACGTCTACAAGCCAGTAAGAGAGGCCTCAGGAGGAGCGAGCCCTGCCCACACCTGGATCTCAGACTTCCAGCCTCCAGGACTGTGGGAGGATAAATGTCTGTTGTTTAAGCCACCCAGTCTGTGGACCTTTGTTATGGTGGCCCAAGCATAATGCAGGCACCTTGTCCGTACCCCAGACATTATTCTGCTTTCTGCTTTCTTTACTTATTTGGTGATGGAGCTATCCTTAAAATACCTTGTGGACTCAGTGCTGTTGGGTTAGAAAAGGACAATGTCTCAGAGATTGAAAGCAGTATGTCCCGCATTACAGCTCAAATGAGGACCAGAAGTTAACTCTGCTTGGAAATCTCAGTCCCCGCCCCCACCCCTCTTTCCTCTGCACTTGGGAATCTGGCTTATGAGAATGGGATGGCTCTGATTTTTCCATTCTGCCTTACCCCAGTAGCTGCTACAATGGACGTATTATTCTTGGTGCAATAGTGTTCACTACTTTTTATAGTCAATGCTGTTTCTAGCCTGGCTGAGGGGAGTGGAAAGTAGAGGCAGTGGTTCCAGGGTTTCAGATGGTTCCCAAGCTCCAGCTATTAAATAAAAATACAGTGTTTTCTCCTTTTCTGAGAGCAGTCCAAACTGACTTTATGTTTTCATCAAGTTCTGTCCATTTCTATTCTATCTCTGCTTCCTTCGCAACTTGTAAAACATTTGCTGAGCATTGTGACTTTTAAAGATACTTTATGAGCCTTTCACAGACTTAGTGTATGGACATTCTTCATGAGCCAATGTACACATTCTCCAAAGGGTAGAGACACTTGGCTGCACCTGGTTGTTGCCACACCTGAGATGTGTTTGTGTTGGCTGAGATACATAGACATTACCAGGAAACAACTCCAAGTCTGTGCTGGTAAAATAGCTCCATCTTTAAAGTTCACTTCCGCATAGTTTGAAGTTGAATAGCTTAAGAAGCCTTGCCCATTCTTGTTGCCTATGAGAGAGGAGAGAGACATTCAGTGTGTGCACTGGAATATTGTCATGTGATTGCAAAAACCAAATAATGAAGAATAGAATGTAGTTAGATGCAAAGAGGTGGTTTGATTTGCTTTGAGTTATACCCCTCTTGTTTCTAGTGTTTTTCTTCCTGGAACTTCATTGTGTCAATGTCTGTAGTTGTGTCTAACTTTATTTAGCTCTTGAATGTGAATGTTCTTATCCTCAAGTTACATGTACCTGAGATAAATAAAATGCAATGGAAGTTCTACTTACAATTTTTTATTTATTTATTTATTTATTTATTTATTTATTTATTTATTTATTTTATTTTTTGAGACGTAGTCTTGCTCTGTCACCCAGGCTGGAGTGCAGTGGTGCAATCTTGGCTCACAGCAACCTCCAATTCCTGGGTTCAAATGATTCTCTTTCCTCAGCCTCTTGAGTAGCTGGGATTACAGGTGTATGCCACCACACCCAACTAATTTTTGTATTTTTAGTAGAGAAGGGTTTTTGTCATGTTGGCCAGGCTGGTCTTGACCTCAGGTGACCCACCTGCCTTAGCCACTGAAAATGGTGAGATTACAGGCATGAGCCACTGCACCCAGCATATCTATTACATTATTTTTCTTTCACCATTAGATACTGAATATTTGATAGCTGTGCCCTAAATAGGAATGGAAACAGATAAAGATTGGCTCACAAATCAGCATCTGAAATGGGTCCTTTTTGTTAAATGCTAAACTATAGATCTCACTAATTATTCAGCCATTCTTTGGATATTATTTTGCAAACTGAATTTGTAAAATTCTACCTGTATTTACCTTAATTATTCATGTTCCGATAACTTAATGTGTTCCTTACCTTGAATTTTAGCCACATTCCAAGAGTTAACTTTACCCTTTCCACATATACAAGGTTTCTCCACTTCTTATTCTCCTATGCTCAGCACATATTTACTGTGAAGCAAACCCTACCTGCTTAATTTTCTCTTTAAAGTGAAATGTCACTGGTTTATTCACCAAGTAGTCTTCTGAGGGCTAAAGAAAACTACTTCTTTCTTCTTTGTAATATTTATGTCCACAAGGCATTCTAAACATTGGCGTCAGTCTGCAACAGTGGTTCTTTCTCTGAACACTCAACATGTTTAAGCACTGTCATATGAACATGGTCACAAATATTATTACGCCATCAAATGGAGGACAATGTAATGCTTTAAGATTTAAATAGGCTTTAAAATCAGCATGGCCAGGTGCAGTGGCTCACACTTGTAATCCCAGCACGTTGGAAGGTTGAGGTGGAAGGACCACATGAGCACAGGAGTTCTAGACCAGCCTGAGCAACATAATCAGACTTCATCTCTACTAAAATTTTTTGCAAAAATAAGCAGGGTGTGGTTTTGCACACTTGTTGTCCCAGCTCCTTGGGGGGCTCAGTGGGAGGATCACTTGAGCCCAGGAAGTCTATGCTGCAATGAGCTATGATTGCACCACTGCACTCCAGCCTGGGCAACAAAGCAAGAACCCATCTCTATAAATAAGTAAATAAAATCCATTACCTGAAACATTCAGATAACAATCATCAAAACAGTATACACCTTTTAGAAAAACAAATTGTTTTTTAAATTAATTAATTAACTTAATAATTAATTAATTTTGAGACAGAGTCTTGTTCTGTCACCCTGGCTGGAGTACAGTGGTGCAGTCATAGCTCTCTACAGTCTTGAACTCCTGGGCTTAAGCTGTAATGCCCAACCTCATTTCTCCTTTTTCACATAGCCTTGTTTCCACCTGAATAGACTCTCCCTTAGCTAAGAGAACAAGACAGACTCCATCTTGGCTCTTTCACTGGCAGCCCCTTCCTCAAGGACTTAACTTGTGCAAGCTGACTCCAAACACATCCAAGAATGCAATTAACTGATAAGATACTGTGGCAAGCTATATCTGCAGTCCCCAAGAACTCATCTGATTGATAACGCCCAAAGCCCCATGTCTATCACCTTGTAATAGTCTTAAAGCCCCTGCCCTTGGAACTGTTTACTTTCCTGTAACCATTTATCCTTTTAACTTTTTGACTACTTAACTTCTGTAAAATTGTTTTAACTAGACCCCCCTCCTCCCCTTTCTAAACCATGGTATAAAAGTTAATCAAGCCCCTTCCTCGGGGCCGAGAGAACTTTGAGCGTTAGTCATCTCTCGGCCGCCGGCTAATAAATGACTCTTAATTCATCTCAAAGTGTGGCATTTTTCTAACTCACTCGGGTATGACAAAGCGATCCTCCCACCTCAGCCTTGTGAATAACTGGGACTACAGGTGTGAGCCATTGTGCCTGGCTGACCCTGTTGTTTTATTCAGAATCCTAAAGTGGTTGCCATGGGCTGCAACATGGGTGTCCCTGAGCCCAGATGTTCACGTCCTAATCTCAGGAACCTGTGAATCTTTTACATTACATGGCAAACAGGACTTTCCAGATTAACGCTCTTGAGACAGGAGATTATTCTGGATTATTCAGATGCGCTCAACATAACACCAAGCTCCTTGGAAGAGCGCAGCAGCAAGCAGTCAAAGATGAAGAAAGCAGATGCGATGAAGAAAGCAGAGAGAGACACAGAGAGGGACAGAGAAAGAGAAGAAGAGACAGGGAAACACACACACACAAAGAGAGAGACACTTAGAGACAGAGGCACAGAGACAGAGAGAGACAAAGAGAGAATGAGAGACACAAAGAGAGACCGACAGAGAGACAGAGAGACAGAGAAAGAGAAGGAAAGACAGAGACAGAGAGACACACACACACACACACAGAGACAGAGAGTGACAAAGAGAGATGGAAAAACACAAAGAGAGACAGACAGAAACAGAGACAGAGACAGAGAGATAGGAAGAGACAAAGAGACACAGGCAGAGAGAGAGAGACAAAGAGAGACAGAGAATGGGACACAGAAAGGCAGAGAGAGGGAGACAGAGACAGAGGCAGAAAGAGAGACAGAGAGAGGCTGAAGACAGAGGCAGAAGGAGAGATAGAGAGAGGCAGAGACAGACAGACAGAGAAGGGGGAGGTGAAGCAGCACTCCTGGTTTTGAAGACACAGGAAGGAGCCATGAGCCAAGGAATGCCGGGATTTGTGGCGGGCGCCTGTAGTCCCAGCTACTCGGGAGGCTGAGGCAGGAGAATGGCATGAATCCTGTTGGCGGAGCTTGCTGTGAGCCGAGATCGTGCCACTGCACCCTAGCCTGGGCGACTGAGACTCTGTCTCAAAAAAAAAAAAAGCATCTTACATCTCATTTTACTATTAAAATGAGAAAGGGTCAGTTTGAGGACAGGTAACCTCAAAATGCTCATGCTCTCTGTAAGGGAAAGTCCCTACTGAAGAATTGTTTTGCTTGAATGAGCTCAATGACAATGCAAATGCTGAAGCTTAGTACGGTCATGGTTACCATGCTTGCTGCACATAGAGAACATGTGTAAAAAACTAGAGTTTGCATAAGACAATCAATCATGAAGCCACACACACACACATGTCCCCCACAAGTGAGGATGACACATGAAAAATTGACTCTTCCAAATCCTTGGGGAAAAATATGATTCAGAATCCCTCTTCAGAAGTCACTGGTTTTTATTGTGGAGTTGTGAAAGGTCAGTCTGTGCTCTGGAAAATCCTGATGTGAGTGGGACTTGTGTTCAGTTTCCCGTTAACCCTTTTTGGGAGTCTGCCTTCTCCTTTAGTAGATTAAGTCTTGTTAATTCCAGGCTCTCTGCTGCAGTAGGGGGTTTGTCTTTCTTGGAAGTAAATCATCTGGGTTTTCGAACCTGACAATCCATTTGCTGCCAGTGCACTATTTATTAATTCTTACTCAAGTGTCAATGGCTACTTAATTATGGCAACAGGCAAACAGCACAGGCATTTTACCAGACCTAATGCCATAATAGTGGAACACCTACTGAGTACCCAGAAGAGCAAGAGGATGCTACTTTATCTACAAGTTGGCTGTGAAGGGAAACTGATTTGCTCTTTTGCAAACAGCATTTGTATCTACTCTCTCCCCTTTTTTCCTGCTTCAGATTATTCTCTTCTTGTTTCCCACTCTCTGTCAAATTCTCTGACATTAAAACTCTTTCCTCCCATTTCCTCCCCTCACCTCCCCTTTACTCCCTTCACCTCCTCTCTTCTCTTTTCCTTTCCTTTCCTTTTGACAGGATTTTGCTTGTCACCCAGGCTGGAGTGCAGCGGCACAATCATAGCTCACTGCAGCCTCCAACTCCTGGATATATATATTACATATATGACAGTCATTCCTTAAAATTATAATGAATCTGCCCTATACTAGTGTACCTTTTTTTTTTATACCATATTTTTACTGTACATTTTAATGTTTGGATGAATTTAGATACAGAAATATTTACCATTGTGTTATAATTGCCTACAGTATTTAGTACAGTAACCTGCTATACAGATTTGTGGCCCAGGAGCCACAGGCTAGACCATATAGCCTACGTGTGTAGTAGGCTAGACCATCCAGGCTTGTGAAAGTGCATTCTGTGATGTTCACACAAAGTCACCTAAGGACACAGTTATCAGAATGTATCTCTGTTGTTAAGTGATACATGACTGTAGCCTTTGCTGCCCCTCTGGCCTGAATGTTCATGTATTCTCCAAATTTATCCTAATCCCCAAGGTTATAGTATTAGAAATTGGGGCTTTGGGGAGGTGATGAGGCCATGAGGGTGGAGCCTCATAGGTGAAATCAGGACACTTATAAAAGAGACCACAGAGAGCTCCCTTGCCCCTTCCACCATGTAAGAACACAGCAAGAAGGACTATCTACAAACCAGAAAGGAAGTCCATACCAGACACTAAATCTGCCATGTCTTTATCTTGGACTTCCAGAGTCCAGAACTGTGGGCAATAAATGTCTGCTGTCTATAAGCCACTCAGTATACTGTATTTTGTTATGGAAGCCCACACTGACCAAGATAGTTACAGACTGAGATCTGAGAAATCTCATGCTTTTGGGCATGAAAAAAAAAATTAGAGACAGGACTGGTGGAGGTTTTTTCTTGGAATATCATCTTTAATTTGAGTTCCCTTCCAGAGGCCATTTCTTACTGTGACTGGAAATGTCTGAGTAGCCTGTGTTCTCTTTCTTTGTATTCCTGCTCTGATCTTATCTTCTAGTCTCCAACCAGAAAGTTTAATCTTGACAGGTACTGACAGAAATGAAAAATGTGACCATTTCCTCCAGGGTGACCATGTGTTTTAAGTTCTCTGAAAAAAGCTAGCATGTGTAATTTTGTACATTCTTATTGTTTTTACAAAACCTCTCTACTTTCAAAGAATAACATGCTGTGGATGAAGAAGCCTCTTCAGATCATGATCTGACTTTTGTTTACTGTAATTTGGTGATTTGATGATAATCAGAGAGAAATCATAGCACTGATATACCTGCTGGGGACATTAAAATGGGATTGAGACAGAGTTAATTCCCAACTGGGGAATGGTGATGCAATGTGTGAGAACCATGCCTGTCTACAACAGCTCTTGGGCATTGGAAAATCCGCACATAATTTCTTGCAGAAATGGCTGCCTAAGGGCGGCAGGCTTTTGAGGTCTGCAGTTTGTCTGGTCTTCTTCTGACAGTTTATAATAGATTTGTTTCTGTAGCTGTGACCACATGCGTATGGTATTTAGTGATGTCATGAAAGAGTTGCTAATGCTGTAGTCAGAAAAAAATGGATGAGGTTAACAGGCTTGGGAAGTTTTAACCTCGAATAGCCTAACACTTTGGTGAACATAAAGGCAGTCTGGACAATCCATTGAGACTATTTTTGTTGTTGTTGCAGAAAAACATCTATATGCTTGAAATACACATCTTTGTTATAGATACAGAGAATGTGAAGGCTTTCTTTCTTCCCAAACATGTAGAGCTAAGGCTACATTTTCTAAATCTCAAATAAATTGAATGCAAATATACTCCAATAGTAAGAAACAACACTAAAGGATACCACTATAGCATATGCTGTACCAGTTACTTGATCCTCAGTGTGGGGGTTCACGGCAACTGAAGAACAGATTACAGTTTTGTTACATGATAGTTAATACCACTATAGCATATGCTAAGTTCTTCTGCTTAGTCTTGTTAAAGCAAATAATTTTAATTCACAGGTGGGTATCTTGAAGGTATCGTCTTTGTTTATAGACTGAGGTTTACAGAAATTAACAGAAATAAACATGATTTTTATCTACAAGCAAAATCAAAGATGATAAATTCAGATTAACTGTAATTACCTCAATGTTTTATGCAAAAGTGTCTTTATTTTGAAACAACCCAACATAAGAAAGCAAACTTGAACTGTAATTAGATTGTCTCAGTATAAACCATTTAACTGACACTGTACTAAGTTGTTTAATAGGTGACTTACTCATAATATGCTGGGTTTGATGTTTATCTTTTCAGGATAGAATTATAAAGATTTTTTAAAATTTTTATTTTTTATTTTATTTTATGTTTTTGAAATGAAGCCTGGCTATGTTGCCCAGGCTGGTCTTGAACTCCTGGGCTCAAGCAATCCTCCCACCTTGCCATCCCAAAGTGCTGGGATTACAGGTGTGAGCCACCATGCCCAGCCTAAAATGATTTTTTTTAAAGTCCATCATTCTTTTGTTCCGCTAAAAATAATAGATGGAATATTGCATAATATATCTAACTTGTTAAAAGAAGTCGGCCGGGTGCGGTGTCAATGGACATCCTTACAGAGTTTATCGTATTTTATGGTTTGTGAACTAAAAAAAAATGAAACCTAAGAGGTGACCAATTAAGTAACCTGAAACTATATGTGTATATAGTATATATATATATACACACATATGTATATATATGTGTGTGTGTCTGTACATATTATTTTATATATATATATAAACTGCATCAGACAAATCTGGCTTAACTTTCATGTAACAAAATTGTGATTTGTTCTTCAGTTGCCATGAACCCTCACACTGAAGATCATGTAACTTGAATGTGCCAGGATGAACCTAGCATGCAACTTGAGATAATCCTAATTGAGAAGTAGGGACTGAATTAAGAAGCAGACACCACATTTCATGATTCAGGATCCAATCAGATTGAACCCTGGGATCACCCTATGGCAAGATCCAATTAGATCGTGCCTCCTGGCATCATCCCATGGCAAGATCCAATCAGAACATGCCTTGTGGCATCACTTCATTGCAAAGTCCAATTAGATCTTGTCTAATTACCATGTGCTTATAAAGCCTGACCTGAAGCTCAGCTCACAGACAAGATTTGAGCATTACCTCCAGTCTCTTTGCCAGCTGACTCACAATAAAGCTTTTCTTTTGTCAAAAGCCAGTGTCATAGTATTAGTCTCTATGTGGATTGAGCGGCGAGCTCATTGATTGGTCATCTATAGCTGTATCTATAGCTATAGATACTCATCTACAGAAACATCATGGCTGTGTGATGATAGCAATGATGTCAAACAGGTACTGTAAGACCATAAGGTCTTTACAGGTTCCCTGATCAAAATGACCCAATACAAAACGTTGTTTTTTGAAGTTGAGCAGAAAGAGAGATGAGCAGAAATCACTTAGTGGGTTGAGGAGACTAATGCAAAAGGTATTTGGAGAATAGGAGGAGGAAGTGGGCTGGATAAACACAGTAGGGACTACATGTTGGCTGCTTCCATGGAGACTGTTTCTGAGGTGAAAGTACTCATGCCAGGAAACAAAAATAAAGAGATATTTTAGTTTATGAGTGTATCTGCTTTCCTAACATGCAGCTGTTTATTAACATTAATGGATATCTGGTTTTTTTTTTCACTCCATCCAAATTTAAAGCTTCATAGAATCCTAAACTTCAGTGTTGGAAGAATCCCTTAACCCTGTCACCCCACTTCTTTCAAGGAGAGTTCTTATCCAGGATTATAAATAAAAATCCCAGGGAGAACATTATCAAAATTCATGCACCCTATTCTTTTTCAGTAGATCTGAGAGAGGGGAAAAAAATCTTAACTACCTATTTAAAAAATTTTTTAAAAAGGATCTTTCTGATATATACCCTGAAAGAATCACCATCACATGGAAAAAGAGTACCTTAAAAATAGTTACATTTTTCCACTTGATCATGCCAAACAATTATGTGAATAAGAAAATGACATATTTTGCACCTAACTTGCCAAGCTGAAAAGACTTTTTCCTTTTGTATATTCGCTAGCAAATTGGGACAGTTTAACTTGCATCTTAGCCAATTTCTGCAGAAGCTGGGGCTCTGTGTATTTAGCTGGTTTGCAACTGATAAAAGCAGCTGTATCTCCACTGGATGGAAATTGCAGTGTGTAACACATGGCATGCAAAACAGGATATGAGAGGATTTTGGCAAGCAAAGGGACTCAGTTTCAGAAAGCTCTGGGGCTCCTCAGTTAGAATTCACTCTGCTGCCTCTACCTGCTGACAACTCACATCAATGCCTGGGTGTATGGATCTTGCTGGAAAATCAAAATGTAACTGGCAAAGAGAAATGCAGAGGTTCAATATTGTGCAAGGTAGGAGGAAGGCAGGTAGGAGACTTGCTGATAAGATAAATGTTGAATGAATAACAGTAGATAATCTGCCAATTGTTGGGCTGATGGTAAAAAGTATGAAGGAAGTTTTCTTAGACTGACTCATCAACCTGGAATTGAAGCAAGTGCATGGTGGGGAGATGCTGGCTTTCATGGGAGGAATGGTGTTGAAAAGTCAAAACAGAGAACAAACTTGTCCCATCTCTACTTGGGTTCATATCCTTTCTCTTTGCAAAGCAAGCTGTGATTCAGAGGCAGTGAAAGCCATCACCTGGGGCTTCAGTTCTTTCCAGACTTACCCTTCAGTGGATCAAAGTTTTGTGTCTAATCCATTATGGGGAGATCAACCTTTAAATTTTTATCTTTTCTCCCTTTTTCCTTCTTCTTTCTCCTCTTCCTCCTTCTCTTTTCCTCCTCTTCCTTCTCTCCTGCTTTTTCTCTTTTCCTTCTCCTTTTTCTCCTTTGACTTCTTATTCTTCAGGGCTTACCCTTCACGTTAATGTGTAAACAATATGATTTGAGTCAAACTTGGACATTGGGGAAAAGTTTATTCCTTATGGGTGCCTTCACTAGTACTTATGATATCAGTCCACAGCATCAAAAATATGACATTAGGCTCTCCCTTAATTCTCCAAATGCAGTTAAATCTAGGTGGTGACATATACCACAATCTTAATGTATTGGCTAATGAGAGGATGAACAAGCCAAAAAGAAAAGAGAAGGAAAGGACATTAATTTGGAAACTGCCAATGACAACTTTTACTGTCCATTGCCATAATCCCTACTGGTAGGTCCTTGAAGGCATTCTTGATATGGTAAAATAAACATGGCATTTTACTTCCATGGTTTTACCAAAACCTGTAAGCCGTCTGAACATGAAAAAAAATCTTGACATAGCCTAATTGAGGTATATTCTAGAAAATACCTGCCAAGTTGTGTCCTCAAGACTGTCAAGGTCATCAAAAACAAGGACTGTCTAAGAAATTGTCTCATCCAAGAGGAGCATAAAGAGATGTGTGATAACAAAATGTAACTTAGGATCTTGGAAGATGCTGGAGCAGAAAGAGAATATTAGGTGAAAACCAAGGAGATCTAAATAAAGTAGGAAATTTAGATGGTGATGATGGTGATGATCATGATGATGATGGTGGTGATGGTGATGATGGTGTTGGTGATGATAGTCATGATGATGGTGATGATCATGGTGGTGATGATGACTGTGATTATGGTGATGGTGATGGTGATGATGATGGTGATGGTGAAGATGATGGTGATGGTGATGATGCTGATGATGATGAGTTGATGACAGTGATGATAATGGTGATGGTGATGGTGGTGGTGGTGATGGTGATGATGGTGATGAGATGATGATGGTGATGGTGATGATGGTGATATAAGCTTCCAATAAGCTATAATGTTGTTTCTAAATATAGGTCCAATATAGTTTAGTAGACACACAGGAAAGTCTTTTCAGGGAAGCTAGCTCTCACTGATGTCTTTGCTATCCAAAGAATGTTATACTTGCTCAGCAAACAACATCTATAGGAACTAGCACTCAGGAAAGTAAAAAAAAAAAAAAGACAGCAGAGGGCCAGTCCATTCTTCTCGTAGTTCATTCATATACTTGGTCACATGCTGCCACTACCTGCAAGGGAGATTGGGAGAAGGTATCCCTATAAGGGCAGACATGTGCCCAACAAAAACTTTGGTGGTGGGCGGGGTGGGGGAGTTCTATGACACAAAATACAAAGGAGAGAATGGCAGTTACCCCTGTCTGTCTTAGCCTTCATAGAGATGATGAGTTGAACCAGGAAAACAGCAGAGGGACTAAGAAGAAAGGGAAAGATTGGAGAGGGAAGTTACCCACAGAGTTGGTGAACATTTTGCCAGGTCTGACCTGAAGATCATGATTGGACATGGAAGCTAAAAAATGTGGCCATGATTTCTCACTTGGATAAACAGATAGTGACTCCTTGAGATATGACATGTAATGGTGGTACAGTGGGGATGAAGGGAATGCTATGGTTTGAAGGTTTTTGTCCCCTCCAAAACGCATGTGTTGGATACATAACTTCCAATGCAACAGTTTTGGGAGGTGGAGCCTAATGGGAGGTGTTTAGGTCATTGAGGGCTCCACTTCATGAGTTCATTAAAGCAGCCATAAGAAAAGCATGTGTGGGGATGGGTTCTCCTCTTTCTCTCTTTCTCTGTCTCTCTCCCCCACAACCCCCATGTTTCTTTGCCACACAAAGATACAAACTTTCTCCCGTCTGGAGGGCCTAGCATTCAAGGCACCATTCTGTAGGATAGGAGAACAAGTCCTGACCCATGGTACCTTGTTTTTGGACTTCCCAGACTACAGAACTGTGAAAGAATAAATTTCTTTTCTTCATAAGTTACCCAGTCTGTGGTAATTTGTGATGCAGCATAAAATTGACTAAGATGAGGTGAGGGGCTAATAAATATGAGTTTGAGTTAAATAGAGGCATCCAAGAAAACAAATTCAGTAGAATAATGACAATTTGAGTCTCACCAGGGAAAGGCTAAAGACCCGGGGAGCCATGTGTGTATGGGATGTATTTAATGGAGCAGAAGTAGATGAGGTCTCAGAGAAAAAGAAAGAGACCAAGTATAAACTCTTACAAATATGGGTATGTGGAGGAGAGAAAACAATAAAATATGATAGATATGGGAAGTATGAGCACTATCAGGAAAAGGCAAGAAGGAGTACACTATGGAAACCAGGGGGGGGATAGATTTTGGAAGAGAGAGACAAGTCAGAAACTCAAAGAAGAAGATAAACTCTTCAGAATGGGTTCCTGGTTTGGAAATGAGATCTCAATCATGTTTCCAAAGGTGACATCACAGAGCAATGAAGTTGGCTGGAGCCATGACCCTTGGGAAAAAAAGAGTGTGGTCCATGGGTGAAGATATTTGCTAGTGACAGGAAGAAGAGAGTGGACAGTAGCTTTTGGGAAAGAGGCAGAAAACTTAGTGAAGGCAGGAAATTCTGAGAACATCTGCCATGTTGTTTTTTTTTTCTTCTAAAAACATCTAGCACTATCTGGCATCTTTGATTCATGTCAAGTTGTTGAAAACAAAGGAGAAGAGAGAGACTAAGAGAATGCCAGTGAGCTACCTCATCATGAGCAGGAAGAGGAGGAGGACATGAGTGTTGGCCTGGTCACGTAGTGTCTGTGGTCGAGACATGACCAAAAAAGAGGCCAACGGGGAGATTAAAATGGGTGAGCAGAGCAGGGTTTTGGGAGGGAGGAATGAACCCAATATCCTGGAAATAAAGATTCCCCTGAGGATATGATAATAGCCTTGTATCTAAGATGAATGTGGCTTGCCATGGGCGATGCTACACATTCCATCGCAATAACACCATACATATAAGCTGTCTCAGTTCTTATTAGTCATTGTCTCATGTCCCCTGATATAATGAGAAGAGATTCTTACTAATGGTCTTTTATTCTCTTCTCTCTCTTTCCCTTGGTGTAAATTATGGTTCTGAGTAAACTGTAAGCCTCTTTTTTTGTTGTTGCTGTTTTTTCACTGCACAGAACTCTCAAATCCCATCATTCCATAGGAATCCGATTGATGTCATCTAAACCTCAGCATATATTTTTTGTTAATGATGAAAAGTTTCTCTCACCATCACCAAGGGAGTTTACTGAGACCTAAGGGTGTAAGCTAAACTCTCTTTATCATTTAAAAAACAAAACAAAACAAAACAGAATTTCCAATGCCATTGGGGGAAACCCTCTGGAAATATTTTTTTAAAAAGAAAACATTAATGCAAAAGGAATTCATACAGTCTATCTCAAATGCCCCCGTGCTATAATTTATTTTTATCAAGCTATGAAAAGAATTATATGGTGTTTAATGGCAACACCTTGATTGCATACAGATATGCTGAACATGTGTCAATTATTTTTCTTAGATGTTACATTGACAGAATTTGAAAGCTCCAGATGTGAAAAGTTAAAGAAAAAAGTTGATCCCCTTGAGTTTTGTTGGAATTCTCTCATGCTTATTCATGTTTCTTACATTAGTAAGAGTACTTATATGATCGTTTGGGAGAAGCTAGTTATGCCAAAGGTTTCTTGTTACCAATGTTTAAATAGCTGTAAAACATTCTTTCTCTACTTGGAGAGCTAAGATTTGCTTTTTTCCCCCCTTACACGTTAGTACTTTGTAATGTGCTTGAATATGAGCTTGTTGAGGAGTCTTTTGCCTCTTGAGTGGGGTCTACCTCAAGCTGGTATGGCTGTCCTCCTGCAAAAGACTCCAAAGGCTCCTCAAGCACAGCCCATGGGTCAGGACCCGGGCTGGCAAGAAAGCCAAAAATTCACAGGCAGTAAAGGCTCATTCTGTCTTCCAGGAGGGGGAAGAACAGAACAAACATGGAAGAGAGGATAATTGACGGGAATTTGGCTACAGTAAAAGATAATTTAATTTTCTCTTGGTCAGGCAGCAAGGGTGGAGGAGATGCTGGTAGGGGGTTGGCCCCATTCTGTCCTGGGACCTCCCAGCACCTGGCTGAGATCTTTGTAAGATTCCCAAGATCTCTTTCAGTTTTAATACCACTTCTTTATTTTCCAGCAGAGAAACAGCATTACACTGCTGACCACAGTGTAACCATACACCCAGTCTTTCCCAGGGATACTTGGGACAGACATCAATTTAAAAATTCATCGTTCCTGGCAACAAGAGAAACCAGGGATTACTAAGCAGGCAGGGAGGGTTGGTAGCAAGGGTTGAAAAAGTACTTAGTGGGTGCTAATGCTCACTATGTGGGTGACAGCTTCAGTTGTACCCAAGACCTCAGCATCACGCTATCATGAAAAAAACCTGCACAAGTATCCCCTGAATCTGAAATAAAAGTTGAAATTATTTTTGAAAAATGCATCCTTCCAAATTGGTGACAACTCATTCCCGGCCATAGTCTGAATAATGTTCTCCAAACAGATCAGCTGTTCCTCTCTGCACCCTGCGAATGGAACCTTATTTGGAAAAAATAATTTTTGAAGATGTGTATAAGGTACAGATCTTGAGATGGGCAGATAATCCTGCCTGTAGAGGGAAATAACTAGATGATTAATAAATGAGTTGTGGGTTTGTGCACTGAATCTGGAGATCTGACACATTTACAAAATTATTTTTGGGGGGCTGACCTCACTATCTGGGCTGGCCTTGGCAGAAGCTGTGGGGGATATGCTGGTTCCACTCAACTAGATATGCCAGATGGAAAAAAAATAAAAGTACTTTCAACAAACCGAGCAGTGGTGACTCCTAAATTGCCAGACATGGATCCTAATGTGAGGAAGACACAAGGAGACCTGACACACCTACAGAGTAGAAGATGGTGTGAGACAGAGCACAGAGAGAATTCAGAGAGGCTGGCCTTGAGGATCAGAGTGATGACGATGGAGCTGCCAGAAGCTGGAGGAGGTAAGGAAGGATCCTCCCCACAGGCTTTCCAAGGGAGCACAACCGTGGAGAAACCCTGACTTCAGCTCAGTGGTATTGATTCAGGACTTCCAACTTCCAGAACCATGAGAGTATGTATTAGGTTGGTGCAAAAGTAATGGCAGTTTCAATATGCACGTTACTGGAAGCCTCTACATTGGTGGCAATTTGTTACAGCACCCCTAAGGAATAAATGCATTCCCCTAACAAATGAGTGTCAAAGGCAAGGATATTAGAAAAAAACAGGTCTGGGAGTGGTGGCTTATGCCTGTAAACCCAGCATTTTGGGAAGCCAAGGCAGGAGGATAGCTTGAGCCCAGGAGTTTGAGACCAGCCTGGGCAACATAGTAAGAACACGTCTCTACAAAAATTAAAAAAATAAAATAGCCAGGTGTGCTGCTGCACACCTGCAGTTCCATCTACTCAGGAGGCTGAGGTGGGAGGATCACTTGAGTCCACGAGGTCGAGGCTACAGTGAGCTAGGATTATATCACTGCATTCTAGCCTGGACAACAGAGCGAGACTCTGTCTCAAAAACAAAAAACCAAAACCCAGATGTTCCACTATATTCAAGATACTCAGTATCCTGAATACTCATCCCTCATCCTTTTTCAGTTTGTGGAATTGGGCAAGAGCTTTCTTTCTCAGAGCTCACCCTTGCTTGTAAATGCATTTACTCAAGTGAAAAGCAGAGAATGGTGGCCAGGTGTGGTGACTCATGCCTGTAATCACAGCATTTTGGGAGGCCAATGCATGTAGACTGCTTGAGCTTAGGCATTCAAGATCAGCCTTAGCAATGTAACAAAACCGTGTCTCTACAAAAAATGCAAAACAATTAGCTAGGCGTATGATGGTTTGTGCCTGTAGTCTCAGCTAATCCAGAGGCTGAGGCAGAAGGATAGCTTGACCCTAGCAGGTCAAAGGTCAAAGCTGCAGTGACCTATTTTGCCACTACACTGCAGCCTGAGCAACAGAGTAAGACTCTCTCTCTGTCTCTCTCTCTCTCTCACACACACACACCACACAGCAGAGAATGAAGACCCGCAGCAGAAGCTGGAGTGCAATCCTTTTCTAACTCATGCTGAGGGTAGAGTGATACAGTTACTGAACACCCACCCCCTGTCTGATTCCTGAATCATCTCCCAGGCAAGCTCTGTCCTTCCAGAACCCCACGTTTGCCGGGGCTGTGCTTCAGAACGGGAAAGCTCTAACCAATGACAGAGTGAAGTGAGTCACCAGGGGACACTGGAAACAAATGCTCATTCTTTATATCTGGGTCACCGCTTCTTGGTTTGTTGAAAATACTTTTATATTTTTCCATGTGGCATATCTATGTGAGCAGAACTAGCATCTAACCACAGCCTCTGCCAAGGCCGACACAGATGAATGAGGTCAACTTCAAAAATAATATTCCAAATGTGTCGGATCTCCAGATGCAGTGCACAAAGCCAGAACTCTTTGATTTATAACATAGTTGTTTCCCCCTATAAGCAAACAAAGAGAACAAAATCATTATCTTGAGGCAAATGAGAGCCCCAAAGAGTGCCTATTTCCAGGGAATGCAGTGGAGAAGTTTCCTCTCTCAGAGAGGTTGGGGGTTTCTCTCAACTGCATCATTACTCTTGAGAAATTATTTAGAATTGGAGGGTTGTAAGTTCTTTTTAACTCAGGATTCTAGTGAACTGATAATTTTAAAAGGATTAGGTTATTTAGAATTTGGCTTATGACACTTAAATACGTGAAGTACAATTGTAATTCAATACAAATTGCTAACATCTAACTATTCCTCTACATGCAAACTTCAACTGTGTGTATGTGAGTATAAGTATAAATTCATATCATATGTAATAGCTATTAGATTTATTAGTTTAGCTATCATTGTCTATCTCGTATCTATCTCTGTCTCTTCCATTTTTATCCATCTGTCTTCTATCTACTCATCCATCTATCAAGCTTTCTGTGTACCTACTTCCCTACCTATTCAACTCTCATGTCGCTCTGTATCCATCTATGTATCTATTTATTATCTATCCATTTATCTCATCCACTTATCTATTATCTTATGTGTCTATCATCTGTCTCATCTATCATCTCTCTATTCATCTACATCCATCTATCATCTAACTATCATCATCTATGTCTTCTATCTTTATCTATCCATCACTTATCTATCTACTCATCCAACTATCTTCTATCTAGCTACTTTCCTACCTATCAAAATCTCATCTCTATCATCTACCTACTTATCCATCTACTATCTATCATCTATCAATTATCTAATCTATCTATCCATCATCTATCTATCTATCTATACATTCATCCATTGAGCATAATAGCTAAGAAAGTTCAAATATTCTGCTCTTATCATTTTTCGTATGAAAACCACATGATAGAGCCATAAGTTGCTTCAGGAAGAAGTTATAGCTGTAAGAGATGGAGCAGAGACATAGCATTCTTCTGTTTCTTTCATTTCAGATATGCTATTTCCAAATCAAGGTTACATTATACCCAGCTTGAGTCACCATTGCACATATTTACTTTTATATTTAATTGTATTCAAATTTGTTATTGTTCTATACACTATCTCACAGCAACTCAGAATGATCATTATAGATGTCCATTGCACTGGATACTTAATTCTACTCAACCTTATAACGGTTCTGTAGAATGCCTCCAACACACCTTTTAAGCAGATATTTGGGATTTGTGTAATTGTTCTTTCAGATGAAGGACAGAAGACAAATTTCACCTGCATGAGTTTCCCAATCACAGGAATTTTGAGTGAGTGGGAATTTACAGTAAAGTCACCTTCTTCTTAAACCCATTGCAATGAGTCTTTTCATGCCTGCCTTTGTGAGATTCATGAGTTTTTTGTCGTGGCTAAATTTGGCTTTTTATTGAACTGGTGATGTGGTCATCCAATACGATCTGACATGTACTAAACTGTTTCCTCTCCTTTCTGGAGTTGAGACCCAATTTAATTGATGTCACCATGGGAAATAGCCCAGGAGTCAGCATCCCTGTTTCCATAACAGGAAGGAGAGAGGAGGTGAAAAATTCCATACCTTCTCCAACACTCATAGTGTTGGAGAACACAAACACACCCCAAGAGTACATTAATGTATAGTAGACTCTTGAACAATGTGGGAGTTAGGGGTGCCAACCCCCAGTGCAGTAAAAAATCCACCTGTAGGCTGCGGTTACACAACCTGTAACCCCAGCACTTTGGGAGGCTGAGGCTCAGGAGTTCAAGACCAGCCTGGCCAACATAGTGAAACCCTGTATCTACTAAAAATACAAAATTTTGCCAAGAGTGGTGACATGCGCCTGTAATCCCAGCTACTCAGGAGGCTGAGGCAGACAAATCACTTGGACCCAGGAGGCAGAGTTTGCAATGAGCAGAGATTGAGTTACTGTACTTCAGCCTGGCCAACAAGAGTGAAACTCCGCTCAAAAAAAAAAAAAAATCCACTTGTAACTTTTGACTCTCCCAAAACAGAACTAATAATAACCTACTTTTGAGTGGAAGCCTTCCTGATAACATAAACAGTCGATTAGCACATATTTTATATGTTATGTGTATTAAATACTGTATTCTTACAATAAAGCAAGCTAAAGAAAAGAAAATGTATTAAGAAAATAATAAGGAACAGAAAATACATTTGCTATTCATTGAGTGGAAGTGGATCATCATAAAAATGTGCATCGTCATTGTCTTCGCATTGAGGAGGTTGAGGAGGAAGGGAAGGGTTGGTCTTGCTGACTCGGTAGTGTCAGAGGTGGAAGAGAATCCCATCCCCTTCTAAGTGGACCACATAGTTCAAACCTGTGTTGTTCAAAGGTCAACTTTACTACAGTTAAGTGATGAATCAATGGACAGTGGTTCCTACAATGAAGCCATTGTCCTAACAGTGGCTTATGATAAATTTTTGAGAATACATATAATTATTTTAGGTAGATGGTCACCAAGATGAAATGAGTGTATGCACAGCAAATCCATACAGTGGTTCTGGCTATTTTAAGTTTTCTTTTGTGTAAAATGGATCCTCATTCTTCACAAAGAGACTGCATTGCTCAATCCATGTTCTTTGTGGTAGAAATATTTCTGTGGTTGGGACCAGTGACTTCTATGTGTTCCTTGGACACACTTCCTGTAATGAAATGATCTAACTATATTGCCCAAGGGAGCAGAAGATTGGAGATTTGTTGTGTGTGTGTGTGTGTGTGTGTGTAGGAGATGAAAATACAAAGGTAGAGATAGAGAATAGAGAAACAGAAAAAAATAGATAGATGATAGAGGGATAATAGGTGTTAAGTAGACAGATGATAGATGATAGAAAGATAAAAAGATAATACATGATAGATGATGGATAGAAACACAGAAATACAGATAGAGATAGATAGAAATACAGATAGACACATTAGATAGATAGATAGATAGATAGATAGATAGATAGATAGATAGATAGATAGATAGGAGTGGAGAGGACTTTCATTTTTAAGAAACATACTAGCTGCACTGAAGGAAGCCCAGCAGCCATTCTGCCATGAACCTTCCTTTGCAGGGTTGTAACCATGCTCTTCTCATCCTCGATCATTAGGGTTTATGCACATGCCCTTAAACAACCACAGAAAAATGCAGGTTGTCCATGCTTCTGCCAGACGATATGATCCTAAAATGCAATTACTTGAGAGACACGCTATTGGAGGAACATGTTTTGAAGGACTCATGGTCCTGGATAGCATAGATTTTATTTTCAGTAAAATAAAATCTGGACCATCCAAAAACTGAATTCACTTCTGTTGTAGTTCTCCACAGAATTGCTACTGCTGAGCAGTACTTTCTTATAGTGCACTGAGCTCTAAAATGAGAATATTTGTAACAGATTGCACTTTTAAGTTGTGATCCTGTCTTTACTGTGGGGGTACTGTTGAAGACGTTTTTGGTATGAATGACTCAGATATGACTGGAAAAGCTTTGCTTAATTTCTTACCAAAGAAATGTGTGATTCATAATGCAGAAGATGTCTCACTTTTTTCCTTTGGCTTCCAGGAAGCTTGTCGCTATGTGATTTATGATTAATACTAATTTTATTTTATTTTCTTTTAATTTTAATTAATTCTTTTAATATTAATTAATTTTTTGTTTTTTGAGATGGAGTCTTTCTCTTGTTGCCCATGCTGGAGTGCAGTGGCATGATCTTGGCTAACTGCAACCTCTGCCTCTTGGGTTCAAGCAACTCTCTTGCCTCAGCCTCCCAAGTAGCTGGGATTACAGGCACCCGTGACCGTGCCTGGCTATTATTTCATAGCACTTTCTGAGTTCATCCCTAGCATCTTACTTTGTGTGAGCTTTTGGCTGATGTGTGACTCTGAGGACAGGGATCATGTGCTCTTGATGCTGTTGCTGCTGCAAGTATTATAAGCACAATAGATCTTGGTTAAATATTAATAGAAAAATGCATTCTGTCTTTCCACCTGTGCCCAATAAGATAGGTCAATTCCATCCAGAGCTTAATTACAACAGCCTCCTGACAACACATCTGATAAAAATTTTGATTTTGTGTTTTGAAGTGACCATTATTGATAAATATTTCATTATTTATTATATTGTGTATTATACATAATTATTTGTATATGTATGTTATAGATAATAAATTGTTATTAAAATGTGTTATCTATAAATATGTAATAATTTAAATATACAAAATGTATATAATATAGTTAAAATAGTATAAATAATAAAATAATATAATAATAAAATAGTATAAAATGTTATGTATGGTATAAAATATATTTATAAAATATAACTATATATTATATATAATTTACATCATTTTATACTTTATTCTTACAATAAAGTAAGCTAAAGAAAAGAAAATGTCATTAAGAAAATAATAAGGAACAGAAAATACATTTACTATTCATTGAGTGGAAGTGGATCATCATAAAAGTGTGCATCCTCATTGTCTTCATGTTGAGGAGGTTGAGGAGGAGGAGAAACAGAAGGGTTGGTCTTGCTGACTCAGCAATTATCTATATTATCTATTACATAATTTATAATACTATATGTTATATAATATATAACACCTTATACAATATAATATATGACATATATATTATATAAGGTATGTGATGTATATTACATATAACACATTTAATTATAATATATACTACATAGTATATATATATTACATAGTATATAATGTATATAACATACATAGACATAACACCATATGTTATATAACACCTTATACTATATAATATATGACATTTACATTATATTATGTATATGATATATATTACACATAACATTTAATTATAATATCATATATTACATAGTATATATTACATAGAATATATGTTACATAGTATATTATATATAACATACATAGACATATAATGGTATATTATATATCATATAGTTATATATTACGTATTATTAGGTTGGTGCAAAAGTAATTGTGGTTTCTGCCATTAAGAGTAATCGCAATTTAATATATAATATGAAATAATATGTAATTTGTGTTTTATTATAATATAATATTTCAAATACTATATATTACATATAGTATTTAAGTATTATATATTACAATAATATTTAAGATATATTATTAAAATATATATTTTATATATATGACATACCTATTATACATAATATATAATTTATACCTCCAGATCCAAAGTATATTCAATTTGACTAACACTTACAGGGCACCTTCAGCATCCAAGGTATTCTGAGGTCATTTCCTGCCATTTTGATTGGGTGAATTTTTGGCGATCAATTGTTGATTACCAATGGTGTCCCTGCTTCTAATCTTTTCCTGTCTAGAGGACCCCAAACCACAGGCCAACTTCTGTCTGAGCAGCTCATCTCTGCTCACACCTCTCTCATGCTCAAAATCCTTCAAATTCTTCCAGCTATCTCAGGAAAAGGAAAAGCCAGAGTCCTTTGCCTCATTCTCAACGCATCCCCTCATTGGCCATTTTCTTGTATTTCAGCCTTCTTTGCAGTATAACGTACCAGGAGAGTTAAGTTTGGGGCTGGAAGAAAACCCTTCATGTCCTGGCATCCTTTGTCCAGAATTCCATCTGCCCAGGCTGCTTCTGAGCAAAGCAATGCTTATCACCCCAGAGAAGCCCTTCCTTCCCGTGGACGCTCCCACCCTTTGGAGCTCATGGTGAGCTTAGGACCAAATGATTTGCAGAAGAGTGACGCATGGAATATATCAAAAAATGCCTGTGAAATTGGATGGTGTTCAAACTAAACATCAGGCACCCCACAAACCCTAGCCAAAATCGAGCTTGACTTCTTGCACAGGAGTTGTGAGTTTAAGGACCATACCAGATACTTGAAGAAACTGATAATTTTTTTGAGAAACTTGCTTGCATTTACCTTTTTTTCTATTATTGATTCATACTATTTTACATATCTATGGGGTACATGTGACAGTTTGTTGCTTGCATAGAATGTGTAGTGATCAGGCCAGATTATTTGGAATATCTGTCACCTTGAGAATTAATCATTTCCATGTGTTGGGAACATTTCAAATCTCCTAGCTATTTTAAAATACACAATACATTATTGCTAACTATAGGCACCTTACCCTGCTATCATATATTAGAATTATGTCTTTTATGCAACTGTATAAAATCAGGATTTGATGACCATCTATGATATATGCCAGCAACAGAATATCAGGCTGATGCTTTTACATCTCTGCCCCTACAGGGTCTTTTGATGTACATTGGGAACAATAATCTTCAGAGATTTGGGGAGACAGATTAGAGATGATATATGTTAAAACACGGGTCCCCATGTGGCCCGTTAGGAACTGGGCCACACAGCAGGCGGTGAGTAGCGGGTGGGTGAGCAAAGCTTCATCTGTGTTGACAGCTGCTCCCTATCACTCACTTTACCTCCTGAGCTCCACCTCCTGGCAGATCAGCGGTGGTATTAGATCCTCATAGGAGCGTGAACCCTTTTGTGAACTGCACATGCGAGGGATTTAGGTTGACGCTCCTTATGAGAATCGAATGCCTGATGATCTGCCACTGTCTCTCATCCCCGCCCCAGATGGGACTGTCTAATTGCAGGAAAACAAGCTCAGGCCTCCCACTGATTCCACATGATGGTGAGTTGTAAAATTATTTCATTGTATATTACAATGTAATAATAATAGAAATACGGTGCACAATAAATGCAATGTGCTCGAATCATCCTGAAACCATCCTGCTCCCAACCCCAGCCATGGAAAAGTTGTCTTCCACGAAACCTGTCCCTGGTGCCAAAAAGGTTGGGGACGGCTGCATTTGAACACAGTTTGCTTTACTCAGCAAACTATCATGGAGTTTTCTGTGATATCAGCGTGACCATGGAGAAGGCTCTCAATAAATGCACCAATTATGTTTTTGATGAAAATGAACATATTTTTCTTGGGTTTCCTAGAAGCACCATTCTACCTCTCAGAAGACATTCTCATAATACCAAGAAGAAAGACAAGCCAAAGATTGCATACTGAAATTATTTTAACAGCCTAAGTTTCTCTTATACGTGCCACTCTCTTGCAAACACCCATTAGAAGAGAAAACAAACAGTACATTTGAGGCCTTATTCTTGTCATCCTCCTCTTCAATTTCTTTATCCTCCTAATTCCCAAATGTAGCCACTTGGATGTGGCAGCTTCCTATTGCAATTTCCTCTTTTTATTTTTATTTTTTTGAGACAGAGTCTCACTCTGTCTTGCAAGCTTGACTGTAGTGGTGCGATCTCGACTCACTGCAACCTCTGCCTCTTGGGTTCAAGTGATTCTCATACCTCAGCCTCCTGAGTTTCAGGATTACAGGCACATTTCACTATGCCTGGCTAATTTTTGTATATTTAGTAGAGATGGGGTTTCGCCATGTTGGCCAGGCTGGTCTCAAACCCCTGACCTCAAGTGATCTGACCGCGTTGGCTTCCCAAAGTGCTGGGATTACAGCTGTGAGCCACTGTGCCCAGCCACAATTTCTTGGATCACAATTTTTTTCTGCATATAATTGAAGGTTCTTTTTTTTTTTTAACATCTGAGAGAATTGTGTGAGTAAAAGAAGAATTAGAATAAGAACATGATGTACTTGAGGGTGCTTTTTAGATGATTATAGCTGAATTTGGTTTTCCTGTTGTAAAAACTATTATTACTTTGAAAATCTAAAATGAACTTTCAGGGTTTGGTGATTAAGGCCAGTTTTATATGTTAGGTAAAGAGCTTTATTGATAAGACTCTACTCATAGTTATTACCCTGAGAAAAATAGACACAACAGATGGGAATGCATTTTTATGATTTAGGGTCTTACCATTTTAAAGGAAGGTGATTTACCCTGAGATATGGGAGAGAAAATAATGCTTGCTGTGTGAGTTTGCTAGGGCTGCATAACCAGGTCCCCCAGAATGCTCAGCTTAAACAACAGACATTGATTCTCCCGCAGTCCTGGAGGCTGGAAGTCTGAGATCAAGGTGTGGGCAGGGCTGGTTCCTCCTGAGGCCTCTCTCCTGGGCTTGGAGTTGCCATCTTATCCTGTGTCCTCACAGGGTCATCACTCTGCATGTGTCTGTGTCCTTATCTCCTCTTCTTATAAGATGTCTTAGTCCATTTCAGGCTGCTATCACAGAATACCACAGACTGTGAGGCTTATAAACAACAAACAATGAGTCTCCCACAGTCCTGGAGGCTGGAAGTCTGAGACCAAGGTGTGGGCAGGGCTGGTTCCTCCTGAGGCCTCTCTCCTTGGATTGTAGTGCCATCTTCTCCCTGTATCCTCACGTGCTCAAACCTCTGTGTGTGTCTGTATCCTAATACAATTGGAAATCAAAAATGTTTTAAAAAGAAATACCAAATCTGCAGAAAATACTGAAATACTAATCCAATAAAAATGGTAAAATGAAAATTAAAATGGTTATTTGTAGTTTTTAAGTACCATTTGCAATAAAATATTTTTAATTATTATTCTTGAAGTTCTAGGGTAGAAATGCACAACATGCAAGTTACATATGTATACATGTGCCATGTTGGTGTGCTGCACCCGTTAATTTGTCATTTATGTTAGGTATTTCTCCTAATGCTATCCCTCCCCCCTCCCCCCACCGCACAACAGGCCCTGGTGTGTGATGTTCCCTGTCCTGTGTCCAAGTGTTCTCATTGTTCAATTCCCAACTATGACTGAGAACATGCGGTGTTTGGTTTTCTGTCCTTGTGACAGTTTGCTGAGAATCATGGTTTCCAGCTTCATCCATGTCCCTACAAAGAACATGAATTCAACCTTTTTTGTGGCAGCATAGTATTCCATGGTGTAATATGTGCCACATTTTCTTTATCCAGTCTATCACTGATGGGCATTTGGGTTGGTTCCAAGTCTTTGCTATTGTGAATAGTGCCACAATAAGTATACATTTGCATGTGTCTTTATAGTAGCATGATTTATAATCCTTTGGGTATATACCCAGTAATGTGATGGCTGGGTCAAATGGTATTTCTAGTTCTAGACCCTTGAGGAATCGCCACACTGACTTCCACAATGGCTGAACTAGTTTACACTCCCACCAACAGTGTAAAAGTGTTCCTATTTCTCCACATCCTCTCCAGCACCTGTTGTTTCCTGATCACCATTCTAACTGGTGTGAGATTGTATCTCATTGTGGTTTTGATTTGCATTTCTCTGAAGACTAGTGATGATAAGCATTTTTTCACGTGTCTGTTGTCTGCATAAATGTCTTGTTTTGAGAGGTGTCTGTTCCTATAATTTGCCCACTTTTTGATGGGGTTGTTTGATTTTTTCCTGTAAATTTGTTTAAGTGCTTTGTAGATTCTGGATATTAGCCTTTGTTAGGTGGGAAGATGGCAACAATTTTCTCCCATTCTGTAGGTTGCCTGTTCACTCTGATGGTAGTTTCTTTTGCTGTGCAAAAGCTCTTTAGTTTAATTAGATTCCATTTGTCTCTTTTGGCTTCTGTTGCCATTGCTTTTGCTGTTTTAGTCATGAAGTCTGTGCACATGCCTATGTCTTGAATGGTATTGCCTAGGTTTCTTCTAGGGTTTTTATGGTTTTAAGTGTAACATTTAAGTCTGTAATCCATCTTGAATTAAATTTTGTGTAAGGTGTAAGGAAGGGATCAAGTTTCAGCTTCCTACATATAGCTAGCCAGTTTTCCCAGCACCATTTATGAAATAGAGAATACTTTCCCCATTTCTTGTTTTTGTCAGGTTTGTCAAAGATCAGATGGTTGTAGATGTGTGGTGTTATTTTTGAGGCCACTGTTCTGTTCCATTGGTCTATATCTTCGTTTTGCTACCAGTACCATGCTGTTTTGATTACTGTACCCTTGTAGTATAGTTTGAAGTCAGGTAGCATGATGCCTCCCACTTTGTTCTTTTTGCTTAGGATTGGCTATGTGGGCTCTTTTCGGGTTCCATATGAACTTTAAAGTAGTTTTTTCCAGTTCTGTGAAGAAAGTCTGTGGTAGCTCAATGAGGGTATCATTGAATCTATAAATTACTTTGGGCAGTATGGCCATTTTCACAATATTGATTGTTCCTATCCATGAACATGGAATGTTTCTCCATTTGTTTTCATCCTCTCTTATTTCCTTGAGCAGTGGTTTGTAGTTCTCCTTGAAGAGGTCCTTCCCATCCCTTGTAAGTTGGATTCATAGGTATTTTATTCTCTTTGTAGGAATTGTGAATGGGAGTTCACTCATGACTTGGCTCTCTGTCTGTTATTGATGCATAGGAATGCTTGTGATTTTTGCACATTGATTTTGTATCCTGAGACTTTGCTGAAGTTGCTTATCAGCTTAAGGAGATTTTGGGCTGAGATGATGGGGTTTTCTAAATATACAATCATGTCATCTGCAAACAGAGACAATTTGACTTCCTCTTTTCATACTTGAATACCACTTACTTGTTTCTCTTGCCTGATTGCCCTAGCCAGAACTTCCAATACTATGTTGAATAGGAATGGTGAGAAAAGGCATCCTTGTCTTGTGATGGTTTTCAAAGTGAATGCTTCCAGTTTTCGCCCAGTTTGTAGTTCTCCTTGAAGAGGTCCTTCACATCCCTTGTAAGTTAGATTCCTAGGTATTTTATTCTATTTGAAGCAATTGTGAATGGGAGTTCACTGATGATTTGGCTCTGTTTGTCTGCTATTGGTATATAGGAATTTGGCTGTGAATCCATCTTGTCCTGGGCCTTTTTTGGTTGGTAGGCTATTAATTATTGCCTCAATTTCAGAGCCTGTTATTGGTCTATTCAGGGATTCATCTTCTTCCTGGTTTAGTCTTGGGAGGGTGTATGTGTCCAGGAATTTATCCATTTCCTCTAGATTTTCTAGTTGATTTGCACAGAGGTGTTTATAATATTCCCTGATGGTAGTTTATATTTCTGTGGGATTGGTAGTGATGTCCACTTTATCATTTTTTATTGTGTCTAAGTGATTCTTGTCTCTTTTCTTCTTTATTAGTCTTGCTATGAGTCTATCACTTTTGTTGATATTTTCAAAAAACCAGCTCCTGGATTCATTGATTTTTTTGATTTTTTCTGTGTGTCTCTATCTCCTTCAGTTCTGCTCTGATCTTAGTTATTTCTTGCCTTCTGATAGCTTTTGAATTTCTTTGCTCTTGCTTCTCTAGTTCCTTTAATTGTGACATTAGGGTGTCAATTTTAGATCTTTCCTGCTTTCTCTTGTGGGCATTTAGTGCTGTAAATTTCCCTCTACACACTGCTTTAAATGTGTCCCAGAGATTCTGGTACATTGCGCCTTTCTTCTCGTTGGTTTCAAAGAACATCTTTATTTCTGACTTCATTTTATTATGTACCCAGTAGTCATTCAGGAGCAGGTTGTTCAGTTTCCATGTAGTTGAGTGGTTTTGAGCGAGTTTCTTACTCCTGAGTTCTAATTTGATTGCACTGTGGTCTGAGAGACAGTTTGTTGGGATTTCTGTTGTTTTACATTTGCTGAGGAGTGCTTTACTTCCAACTATGTGGTCAATTTTGGAAGAAATGTAATGTGGTGCTGAGAATAATGTATATTCTGTTGATTTGGGGTGGAGAGTTCTGTAGATGTCTATCAGGTCCACTTGGTACAGCGCTGAATTCAAGTCCTGGATATCCTTGTTAACCTTCTGTCTCATTGATCTGTCTAATATTGAAGTGGGTTATTAAAGTCTCCCGTTATTATTGTGTGACAGTCTATGTCTCTTTGTAAGTCTGTAAGGACTTGTTTTATGAACCTGGTTGCTCCTGTATTGGGTGCATATATACTTAGGATAGTTAGCTTTTCTTGTTGAATTGATCCCTTTACCATTATGTAATTGCCTTCTTTGTCTCTTTTGATCTTTGTTGGTTTAAAGTCTGTTTTATCAGAGACTAGGACTGCAACCCCTGCTTTTTTTGTTTTCTATTTGCTTGGTAGATCTTCCTCCATCCCTTTCTTTTGAGCCTGTGTGTATCTCTGCACGTAAGATGGTTTTCCTGAATACAGCATACTGATGGGTCTTGACTCTTGATCCAATTTGCCAGTCTGTGTCTTTTAATTGGAGCATTTAGCCTGGTTACATTTAAGGTTAATATTGTTATGTGTGAATTTGATCCTGTCATTGTAATGTTAGCTGGTTATTTTGCCCATTAATTGATGCAGTTTCTTCCTAGCATTTATGGTCTTTACAACTTGACATGTTTTTGCAGTGGCTGGTACTGGTTTTTCCTTTCCATGCTTAGTGCTTCCTTCAGGAGTTCTTGTAAGGCAGGCCTGGTAGTGACAAAATCTCTCAGCATTTGCTTGGCTTTAATGGCTTTAATGGATTTTATTTCTCTTTCACTTATGAAGGTTAGTTTGGCCGGATATGAAATTCTGGTTTGAAAATTCTTTTAAGAATGTTGAATATTGGCTCTTCTGGCTTGAAGAGTTTCTGCTGAGAGATCCACTGTTAGTCTGATGGGCTTCCTTTGTGGGTAACCCGACCATTCTCTCTGGCTGCCCTTAACAGTTTTTCCTTCATTTTAACCTTGGTGAATCTGACAATTATGTGTATTGGGGTTGCTCTTCTCCAGGAGTATCTTTGTGGTGTTCTATGGATTTTCTGAATTTGAATGTTGGCCTGCCTTGCTAGGTAGAGGAAGTTCTCCTAGAAAATATCCTGCAGAGTGTTTTCCAACTTGGTTCCATTCTCCCCATCACTTTCAGGTACACCGATCAAATGTAGATTTGGTCTTTTCACATAGTCCCATATTTCTTAGAGGCTTTGTTCTTTCTTTTTACTCTTTTTTTCTGTAAACTTCTCTTCTCACTTCATTTCATTCATTTGATCTTCAATCACTGATACCCTTTCTTCCACTTGATCAAATGGGCTGCTGAAGCTTGTTCATGCATCACGTCATTCTCGTGCCATGGTTTTCAGCTCCATCAGGTCATTTACAGTCTTCTCTGCTGTTTATTCTAGTTAGCCATTCATCTCATCTTTTTTCAAGCTTTTTAGCTTCCTTGCAATGGGTTCAAACATCATCCTTTAGCTCAGAGAAGTTTGTTATTACTGACTTTCTGAAGCCTACTTCTGTCAACTCGTCAAAGTCATTCTCCGTCCAGCTTTGTTCCATTGCTGGTGAGCAGCTGCTATCCTTTGGAGGAGAAAAGGTACTCTGGTGTTTAGAGTTTTCAGCTTTTCTGCTCTGGTTTCTCCCCATCTTTGTGGTTTTATCTACCTTTGGTCTTTGATAATGGTGACCTACAGATGGAGTTTTGGTGTGGTTGTCCTTTTTGTTGATGTTGATACTATTCCTTTCTGTTTGTTAGTTTTCCTTCTAACAGTCAGGTCCCTCAGCTGCAGGTCTGTTGGAGTTTGCTGGAGGTCCACTCCGACCCTGTTTGCTTGGGCGTCACCAGTGGAGCCTGCAGAACAGCAAATATTGCAGAACTCAAATATTGCTGCCTGATCCTTCCACTGGAAGCTTCGTCTTAGAGGAGGACCTGGCTATATGAGGTGTCAGTTGGCTCCTACTGGGAGTTGTCTCCCAGTTAGGCTACATGGGGGTCAGGGAACCACTTGAGGAGGCAGTCTGACCATTCTCATAGCTCAAACTACATGCTGGGAGAACCGTTGCTCACTTCAGAGCTGTCAGACAGGGACGTTTAAGTCTGTAGAAGTTTCTGCTGCCTTTTATTCAGCTATGCCCTGCCCCTAGAGGTGGAGTCTAGAGAGGCAGGCAGGCCTCATTGAGCTGCGGTGGGCTTCATCCAGTTCTAGCTTCCCAGCCACTTTGTTTACCTAGTCAAGTCTCAGCAATGGCAGACGCCCCTCCCCCACCCAGGATGCCGCCTTGCAGTTTGATCTCAGACTGCTACACTAGCAGTGAGCAAGGCTCCGTGGGTGTGGGACCCACTGAGCCAGGCACGAGGTATAATATCCTGGTGTGCTGTTTGCTGTGACCATTGGAAAAGCACAGTATTAGGGTGGGAGTGTCCCGATTTTCCAGGTACAGTCTGTCACAGCTTCCCTTGGCTAGGAAAAGGAAATCCCCCGACCCCTTGTGCTTCCCAGGTGAGGCAATACCCTGATCTGCTTTGGCTCACCCTCGATGGGCTGCACCCACTGTCCAACGAGTCCCAGTAAGATGAACCAAGTACCTCAATTGGAAATGCAGAAATCACCCGCCTTCTGCGTCGATCACACTAGGAGCTGCAGACCGGAGATGTTGCCATTTGGCCATCTTGGAACAGACCCAAAAAATATATTTGAATAATATGAAACTCAGTGATTTCCTTGATTCTCAACTTCCAGTAGCAATTAAAAGAAGCCCCTGTGGTCTCCAGAAGAAGCCTGGAGTTCAGATAATTTGCAGTTACTAAAAAGGTATGTGATTAGGCAGACACGAACTTGGATTTCCTGGTGGAAATTAGGTCTTAGTTACAGTAGATTCTGCACTCTGCACTGTGTTTCTGTCTGCATGAATATATCCTTGTTCATAATGATGACTGTTTTGTTATTATACTTTAAGTTCTAGGGTACATGTGCACAACATGCAGGTTTGTTACATAGGTATCCATGTGCTATGTTGGTTTGCAGCACCCGTCAGTCCATTATTTACATTAAGTATTTCTCCTAATGCTATCCTTTCCCTAGCCTTCCACCCCATAACAGGCCCCAGTGTGTGATGTTCCTGTTCCTGTGTCCATGTCTTCTCATTGTTCAACTCCCACTTATGAGTGAGAACATATGGTGTTTGTTTTTCTATTCTTGTATTGGTTTGCTAAGGATGGTTTCCAGCTTCATCCATGTCCCTGCAAAGGACATGGATGCATCCTTTTTAATGGTGCCATAGTATTCCATGGTGTATATGTGCCACATTTTCTTTAACCAGTCTATCATTGATGGGCATTTAGGTTGGTTCCAAGTCTTTGCTATTGTGAATAGTGCCACAATAAACATATGTGTGCATGAGTCTTTATAGTAGCATGATTTATAATCCTTTAGGTGTCTATCCAATAATGAGATTGCTGGGTCAAATGGTATTTCTAGTTCTAGATCCTTGAGGAATCACCTCACTATTTTCCACAATGGTTGAACTAATTTAGACTCTCACCAACAGTCTAAAAGTGTTTCTATTTCTCCACATCCTCTCCAGCACCTGTTGTTTCCTGACTATTTAATGATTGCCATGCTAACTGGCATAAGATGGATCTGATTTTGGTTTTGATTTGCATTTCTTTAATGACCAGTGATGATGAGCTTTTTTTCATATGTTTGTTGGCTGCATAAATGTCTTCTTTTGAGAAGTGTCTGCTCATATCCTTCACCCACTTTCTGATGGGGTTGTTTGTTTTCTTCCTGTAAATCCATTTAAGCTCTTTGTAGATTCTGGATATTAGCCCTTTGTCAGACGGATAGCTTGCAAAATTTTATCCTATTCTGTAGGTTCCCTGCTCACTCTGGTGATAGTTTCTTTGGCTGTGCAGAAGCTCTTTAGTTTAATCACATCCCATTTATCAATTTTGGCTTTTGTTTTCATTGCTTTTGGTGTTTTAGTCATGAAGTCTTTGCCCATGCCTATGTCCTGAATGATATTGCTTAGATTTTCTTCTAGGGTTTTTATGCTTTTAATTCTTTAATTAAATTGTTCTTTTAATTCTTTAATTAATCCATGCTTTTAATTCTTTAATCCAGTTAATATTTGTGTAAGCTGTAAGGAAGGGATCCAGTTTCAGCTTTCTGCATATGGTTTTTCCACGTACTTTTAAGATTATAGTACCCGCTGAGTTTCAGAGGACAAGGAAAAGAGCAAGTTGTGCATGCATCCAACTATAGGAATGCTTTAAACATTTTACTATCTAAAACATTCTTATTTTGCTTTCCCTAAAGTTTCCCCAGCTATCATCAACCAAAAAATCACTTCTCTCTTCTACTTAAATTTCTTTATTTTTACTTTAGGAGACAGGATCTTGCTTGTTGCCCAGGCAGGGGTGCAGTGGCACCATCATAACTCACTTTAGCCTTGACTTCCCTGGGCTCAAGTGATCCTCCCACTTCAGCCTCCCAAGTAGCTGGGATTACAGGTGTGTTGCAGCATGCTGAATATTTTATTTTATTTTATTTTGAGATGGGGTCTCACTGTGTTGTGCAGGTTGGTGCTGAACTCCTGTCTTAAATCAATCCTCTCTCATTAGCCTCCCAAAGCACTGGGATTATAGCTGTAGGCCACCATGCCCAGCTTTTCTTACATTTACATTTCTAAACACTCATATATTCCAAATGTGACAGCTAGGCAGACACGCATACGTGCACATATTTATATGCCGTCATCACCCACAACCTCTCACCTCACTCCACAATTATTTCTCAATGTGTAGCCTCTTCATAAAATATTCAGGAAAGGGCACTTACCCAACTCACTCTTTTGGAAATGTTCTGTAAGTGTTAGAAAGCATGCCTTGCCATTACCCATTCTTTCAGGCTCAGCTCACAAAATCCCCTCATCTCCTGTAAGAACCTGCCGTAGACTCACCCTACTGGCAGATGCTGCTTTTCTGTGTTCCTATGGTATGCTGGCTCAAACTTCACATATGCCACTTCTATTATGAAACACAATGATGTCTATGAACCATGGAACCATTTGCAGAAGGAATTCTTGGGAGTCATTCTACATGTCCTGGGGTCTGAGAAAATGGCAGCTCGACCAGTGTCTGATACTTTCAATGGCAGAATCGTTAACAGTAACTCAGTCACAGGGCATGCAAGTTGGACTGTAAACACCTTCAGCCATCTGGTGATACATAATGTCCTCCTTGGCTCCTTGACCTGGGGATGATGGAATACCACTTGCTTTCTGAGAACAAATGGGCTCAAGTGGCAACAAGAGCACACCCAGGCAATATGTGAAAGATTTTCACAGTGGTTGACAAAGAGAATAAAAGCAAGATGAGGCCTAGGGCAATGGGTCATGCCTGTAATCACAGCACTTTGGGAGGCCAAGGCAGGAGGATCATTTGAAGCAGGGGTTCAAGGCCAGCCTGGGCAACATAGCAAGAGCCTTGTTTCTACAAATAATACAAAAAATTAGCTGGGCGTGGTGGTGTGTGCCTATAGTCACAGCTAGTCAGGAGAAATTCATTTGAATGCATTTCTCTCTTTAGAGAAACAATGTTATGTGACTCCACTTTATGCCTCATAACCTGCATGGTGGAACACAATACTGCAGAAAGCGTGAAGTATATTTTTTATTAATTTTAGAAACTCAATAAGATGTAGCTTGTTTTCTGGAACACTGATGACTTAAACACTGGAGAGTTGCAAGTAAACAGAATAATATTATTTTCATTGGACCTAAATGTCCATCAATGGATGATTGGATAAAGAAAATGTGGCAGTCCATGTATACCACAGAATACTACGCAGTCATGAAAAAGAATGAAACCATGTCTTTTGCAACAACATGGATGGAACCAGAGGTCATTGTCTTTAGTGAAATAACTCAGAAATAGAAAGAAAATACCATATGTTCTCACATATAAGTGGGAGCTAAGTAATGTGTACACATGGACATAGAGAGTGGAATAATATACATTGGAGATTTGGAGGGGTGGGAGAGTGAAAGTGGGTGAGATGAGAAATTACTTAGTGAGTACGATGTACATCATTCAGGTAATGGGTACACTAAAAGCCCTCACTTCACCAGCATGCAATATATCTATGTAAGAAAACTGCACTTGTACACCTTAAATACATTTTAAAAATTTAAAAATCAAAAAAGAACAGTGTTTTCTTCATTGGGTGGTGGAAAGATGCCAGCCAGGTTGCTCTGCTCAGGGAAGTTCCAGAAAGCAGAAGACAGGAAGAGGTTGTTGGGATGTCTGTATGAAATGACTCTCCAGGTGGGCAGATAGAAAATTTCAATTTTTGGAATTGTTCTTTTCTGATGGTCAGGTTCTGATGGGCATGGATGAAATTTGTGCAAATTTCTGTACAACTGATATAATGCTCTCAAACCTGAACATGCTCTCAAATGAGTCTGATGCAGTAAGTCCTGAGCAGGACCTGGGAAATTCAATTTCTAGCTGCACCCCTGGTGAAGTGGGTGTTGCTGCCCAACCTTTTGAATGGCAAGTTCCTGTAGATCTGGTGCATTGTTAAACATCATACCTCTAGCCATCTGTGGCTAATTAAATTCAAATTTAAAGGACTTAAAGTACAATAGAATTAAGAATTCACTTCCATATATACATCTAGTATGTACCCACAAAAGTTAAAATTAAAAATTAAAGAAAAGAATTCACTTCTTTGGTCACAGTAGATGCATTTCAGTGCTCAGTAGTCCCAAATGGCTACAGGCTACCTCTTGGCAGCCCAGGATAGAACATTTCCATTATTACAGAAAATTATATGAGACATTGCTAATGTAGAGACTGGTTATCACCCAGGAACATTCAATGACAAAGTAGTAAAAGTAATTTTAATATTTGGAATTCACCTTTTTTTTTGCCTATCAGGTTCTGATTTCTATAAATTTCTGTGCAAGTTGTATAACACTTTTCAAAATCAGGGCACAAATATACATCCTTCATTACATGCAGCTCTGTGAATATTCTTAAAAGCCTTGAAATAAAAGAAACTTTAAATTCTAAACAATTCCTAAAATTGCCTTATTTCGGAACACATTTGTGTATGTATGCTCATATTCTATATGCACGATAGCTATAAAAGTCTACAAATATTTATGTGCATGTACTCAACATATTTTCATCCTTTCTTACAATTATTTTTACAGTCCTTCGATGAACAAAGGCCAAAAACCTCAGGGCTTTTCAGCAGAGGAACTATGACAGCTGAGTAACCCGGTGGCAATTTGGTCAATCACATTAGAAATCAGAAGTGCATGTTGCCACCAGAGAACGCTGTTATTTTAGATGCACAAGGTTGATCCAATTCAGAATTCTGGAGTAATGCTCACCTATACAAAAAAGGCACCTCAGGATTTTATTGGCTGAACACAATAGTAGTTTGTTTTTCCTACTTTACTAGCCCTTTGCAAGTGTTTTCACTTGGGTAGATTTTCTCCAAGTGGTGAGTGAGAGACTCAGGTTTATTGCCAAATTGGTACTCTGCCATCTCCAACACCTGCCTTGCAAGGTATCCCTGTTTTTGTTTGTTGATTTTTTTGGCCACTGTTTCAGTTTTATCAACTCCAAGGAAAAAGCTCATGGAAGCTCACCCGTGGGAGATTTCCATGGGACACACGCTTATACTCACATTTCCTTGGCCAGAACTCAACCAAACAGACACTGAATTCCAGGAGCAGATGGAAAATGTGGTCAGGCTCTAAAGAGGGAAAAACTGGTTTGGTGTCAGCGAGCAGCATGTAATTATGGCTAAATCTATCTGCTAATGTACATGTCAAACAATGAGAACATTCACCCACTGCTGCTGGGACCATAAATCAGTACAACCATATTGGAGATCCCTTTGGCACCATCCGTTAAATCAGAACACGACCCACCAATTCCCCTCACTGATATACACTTTAGAGGAACTCTTGCATACTCTTGTACATACATAAGCATGCCCTTAGCAGTAATGTTTGTAACAGTAAAACCCTGCAACAACTCAGATGTTCACCGTCAGGGGGATGGATCTATAAAGTGTGAAATAGTTACATAGTGAAAGATTGTACAAAGGCAAAATGAATAAACTAAATCTATGTGCAGAGTCATGGCTGAATGTCAGAAATTCCAAATTGTTGGAAGGGAAAAAAAATACACACTATGCAGTGTGCTCCCAGTGGATATGATTCAAATGCTAGCCTAAGTAAACCATAATATATTGATTAGGAAAACAGAGCTCTTAGGCAAAATTGTTATGTTTTTATTACACAAAAAATTCAGGAACATATTTAACTTTGACTGTGGGATTTTCAAGGCAGTAGAGAAACAAGCCTTGAAAGCAGCAATGAATGAGAAATATTCTCCATTTTTTATGTGGGTGGTTGGATCCACGCTTATTTTATTGGCTTGCTTCTTAACATGCTTTGCATATTCATCCTTTCACACCACTGCATATTTTCCTTTAAACATACCCAACACTTCACACACAAAATAAATTAGTTTTTGGTGCAGCGAATCTTTCCTACAGTTTCCTATCTCCAGTGATTCTTTAGCCTTTAATGGATCTTGCTGACCTAAGAGTGGATTCTCTATGACTGCACTATGCTGTCACCACCATTTTCTGCTTTTATGCCTCAAAGGGTGGAGACCTCATTCAAACTAAGTCAGTAAGATGGGCCCTGCAAGGAAGAGGCAATTGGAACTTTTTCAGACTAATTGCTTTCAATCCCAATTTGATCCCTCTCCCCTCACTGCTATTTTCTTTAAAATCCTGTCTCCTTGGTACTCCCTTAAGACTAAGAAAACATGTATGAACCCGGAGGACATCATGCCAAGTGAAATAAGCCAGGCACAGAAAAACACCCTATGATCTCACTTATTTGTGGAATCTAAAAAAATCAAACTCACGGAAACACAGTAGAACAGTGGTTCCCAGGGGCTTCAGGGTTGGAGATTGGGAAGATGTTGATCAAAGAGTACAAAGTTTTAGTTAGAGAGGAGGAATAATTCTTAGGGATGTATTCTACATCATGGTGACCATAGTTAATACTAAGGTAACATATATTTCAAAGTGGCTAAGAGACTGGATTTTAAATGTTTTCATCACACATACAGAAATAATAAGTAGCTGATGTGATGAATATAGCAATAGCCCAATTTAATCATTCCACAAGGCAAGGCAAGGTGGCTCATGCCTCTAATCTGAGCACTTTGGGAGGCCAAGGTGGGCAGACCACTTGAGGTCAGGAGTTCAAGAGCAGCCTGGCCAACATGGTGAAACCCTGTCTCTACTAAAAACACAAAAATTGGCGAGGCTTGGTGATGCACACCTGTAATCCCAGCTACCTGGGAGGCTGGGACAGGAGAATAGCTTGAACTTGTGATGCAGAGATTGCAGTTAGCCAAGATCCCACCACTGCAGTCTAGCCTGGGCAACAGAGCAAGACTCTGTCTCAAAAAAAAGCAACCAAAAATCAAAGTGGCTAAGAGAGTGGATTTCAAATGTTCTCACCTCACACACAAAACTAGTAAGTAAGTGAACGGATGAATATGACAATTATCTCAATTTAATCCATCCACAAGGTATGCATATATGAAAATATTACACTGTCCTCCATACATACATACATACATTGATTATTTGTAAATTAAAAATTAAATTTATCTGGGTGCATTAAATTTTACGGTTCACTTTTGCTCACTTTTGAATCACAGTTATTGCTAACATAGCACATAGTCTCCTATATCTTTTTTTCTACCAATTTTGAATTTCTAAGTTTCACTCATAATACTGCCTATAGATTTAGTTACTAGGTCTGGAGACCCAGGAGGGCTGATGGTGTGAGTTCCAGTCTGAAGGCCTAAGACCCTGGAGAGCTGAGGGTGTGAGTTCCAGTCTGAGTCTGAAGGCCTGAGACCCAGGAGAGGCAAGTGTGTGAGTTCCTGACTGAGTCTGAAGTCCTGAGACCCGCGAGAACTGAGGATGTGAGTTTCAGTCTGAGTCTGAAGACCTGTGACCCAGGCTAGCCAATGGTGTGAGTTGCAGTCTGAGTCTGAAGGCCTGAGACAGAGGAAAGCCAAGGGTATGAGTTCCAGTCTGAGTCTGAAACCTGTGACCCAGGAGAGCCAATGGTGTAAGTTCCATTGTGATAGCCTGAGACCTAAGAGAGCTGATGGTGTAAGTTCTTGTGTGATGGCCTGAGACTGAGAAGAGCTGATGATATGAGTTCCAGTCTGAGTCTGAAGTCCTGAGACCCAGGAGAGACAACGGTGAGAGTTCCAGTCTGAGTCCAGTGTGGAGTTAGGAGTAAAACTATTGTCCCACCTCAAAGACAGGCAGAGAGAGCAAAATCTTTCTTACTCCATTTTTTTCTTGCTCTATGTGCACCCTCATAACAGAGGATAATCCTTTTTCATATAATGACATCTTTTTCTTTGGATAGATACCCAGGAGTGGGATTGCTGGATCTAATGGTAGTTCTACTTTTAGTTCTTTAAGGAATCTCCACACTGTTTTCCATAGTGGCCAAGAAGCTTTTCTGTTTTCTTGTCTTTCCTCCCTGTTCCCTAATGACACCACCATTGAGCCAATTACTCTGTTACCCACATAAGAGAAGACAATCCACTCTACTAAGTCTACTGATTTATTCGTTAATCTCAACAAGAATAATAATCATAAACACATCTAGGGTAACATTTGACCAAATATGTGGGAACCCCATGGCCCAGCTAGGTTGACACATATAATTAACCATGACAATGCCTGTATACATACTTGTGTGCATGTGTATGCATGTATGTATACATGAATCTTACTATGCAAATTAAGCACTGAACTAGCACAGAATAAAAAATATTATACCTTTTGGTGGAAAGCATTCACTGTAGTAATATTCTGTGGTCATCTGAAAACAGCAACTTTGCTGTTTCCAAATACAAATGAAAGAATGAAGGATCAGAAAAAAATAGATAATGTTGCCATTTAGCCAGCAATATGGAATGGATAACTGTGATTCCATGTAAAAAATCCATGCTTAAATATTGATAAAAGACAAATGGAGCCGCTCTCAGGTGTTTCTGTGTTTTCTGGGCCCCTCATTGCTCAGGAAAAGACGTCACTCTGGTCATCCTGCTGTGCCCATGGCATTTGGAGCACCTTCCTCCTGGTAGCCTTGCTGCTGGAAGGGGTAACCAAGACTGCTTCCTCCCTCATGTCCCTCTCTTGAAAACTTGCATTCCCTGTTTATTTATTTGTCACAATATTTGGACATGTTTACATATTGCTTAAAGATCCTTTGCACCTTCTGCATGGTGGATTCAAACTCAGCTTCCTTGGCAAAGGTGACAGCCCTTGGCAAAATGCAGTTATTCACTTTAAATAAGTTTTCCCTCTCTACCACCAATGAAACTGTCAGCCTTATCATTCAGGTGCCACCCACCCAACATGGGAGAGGATGCATTCTTGCTGTTTTGTGAAGATGCAATTGCTACTGTCACTTCACCCAGGCATTCTTTTCACATTGGAAAGGCGATGGTTCATAAAATTGTCTCTGAATTCATAGAAACTACCAAATAACCTTTAATTTGGCCGGAGATCAAAGACATAACAATCGATTAAACCAAGATGCACAAGTGGCAAATAAGTTTTATGCTGTATATAAACATGCCCAAATATTGCAATGAATATTATGCATATCATATGCCTTTGGGGTGGTATGGTTTTGAGAAGCAAGCTTTGCTACAACTGTAATATTTCAAACCATGGTAGAATTTCTCTTTGATGGGGTCACCCAGGTGTCTTATCAGTCAAAACTCGATGAGGCAAAAAAACAGGGCATGTCTCATCATCTGCGAAATCCAAATACACATATTTCCCACTAATGAATCCCTAATTAGGTCTAATAAAACATTATTCTGATGAACAATCCCATGGTAAGACATACCATGAAGTGACTCAACACAGCTTGCTCATGTTTTCTGTCGAGAAACCAACAATTAATTTCAGCTATGGAACTTTGCATTTAAAGCTGGGCGGAGACAATTTATAATAGAAGTAGACTTTAAAACTCAATTTGACAAGTGCCATTTGGTCTGTTCCTTGAACACTAGATTGATAGTTAATGAGCTGGAGTTTTCCCTCAGCCTGACTGACTTTTGGGCAGGTCACTCGGTTGTAAAGAAGAACTTGCCTCCGTGTTTACAATAGTCAAAGCTCATGAATACCTGAATAATAATAAATATTAAAACATTAGTATTAGTAGGTAGTGTCTGTCATAATAGACAAGTCACTTATTTAGGTCGATTATGGTATGCCCATTCTAAACTCATATTTGCCATATGAAATATTGGCGAGTATTGGTGCTGACAAGATAGAGATGGTGAAGAGTAGAGAGTGGTCCCAGAAATCTGCATGCACCAGCTAACAACTTAACCAGCTGCTTTCTGTTGGATTATTTCTGTACACTCTACTTCACCTTCCACTCTATTGCAGTGATCCCCAACCTTTTTGGCATCAAGGAGAGGTTTCATGTAAGACAATTTTTATGTGGATCCAGGGCAGGACAATGACATTGGGATGATTCAAGCATATTACATTGATTGTGCACTTTATTTCTATTACTATAATATTGTAATACATAATGAAATAATTCTACAACTCACCATCATGTAGAATCAGTTGGAGCCCTGAGCTTGTTTTCCTGCCACTGGACAGTCCCATCTGGGGCTGATGGGAGACAGTGACAGATCATCAGGCATTAGATTTTCTTAAGGAGCGTCAAACTAGATCCCTCGTATGGGCAGTTCACAGTAGGGTTCATGCTCCTATGAGAATCTAATGCCACTACTGATCTGACAGGAGGCAGAACTCATGTGGTTATGTGAGCGATGGGGATTGGCTGTCAATACAGATGAAGCTTTGCTTGCCCGCCCGCTTGCTTATCACTTCCTGTTATGTGGCCCACTTTGTAACAGGCCATGGAGTGGTACTGGTCCATGGCCTGGGGGTTGGGGATGCCTGCTCTATTGGATGAAAATAAATATTACCAAAGTGACCATAGAGGGAGAGATCAGATGACAGGTCTACAAGCAAAGAACACCAAGGAATTAATGAAATTCACCAGAAGCAAACACAGTGGCAGATTTTCTTTCCAAAGAGAATGAACTGTGCCGCCACCTTGATATCAGACTTCTGCTCTCCAGAGCCATAAGGCAATAAATTTATGTTCTTTTAAACCATTCATACTACAGAATTTTGTGATGGCAGCCCTAGCAAAATGAACAAACAAACAAACAAACAAAAATACACCCAAGTTTTTTGGTAAACTGTGTCATGGAGAGAGTGGAAGTTTTGGGAATTTTCACAACCCATCAGACACAGAGGGAGATTGTCCTAAACATTGTGAAGCACACCCCAACATTGCAGGTGCCCAGAAATACTTATCAGCAGTACCAGTTGGGGATTGCTTGCTCTTATTGACTCCTTAACATTCTTTCCAGCCTTATAATTCAGTTATGATGACATATTATGATTTATTATGTCTTATTATAATAAGCAAAAAGACCAATCAAAATATCTCCAACCAAAGTGTTGCAAAATTACAGTATCACATAAACTCAAAAACATGTAAACATTTGCTCTGAGCTCTGAAAATTTGCTGCCAAACATGAAAGATAAATGATTCCTGAATGTGGGCCCATAAGCAGTCATCAGCCAATTAGACTTTATCTTGCATTTCTTCCACTGCCAAAAGGTTTCTTAGTAGCAATTAAGGTTCAGTTCCTCCAGTGAACATTGCAGGGAGGGGACTTCAAGAACCTTTTCCAGGATGAGAGCAGGGGATAAGACTTAATGCTTTCATGGAGGCATTGTCATGGATGCCAACGTCCACACGGATTCGTGCACTACAGGATGAGATGTGGTCTTCATTGCTCTCACCTCCCCCATCCTATCTGTTTCATGTGTGCATGTTCTCAGCCACTCTTCCTGAGTTCATGCCAGTCAGCCTTTGTTTCCATTGACTGCATTATCATGATTGCAGTGGGGACTCCTCTGACTCAAATGGCCCTGAAGGCGGTAAACCTTTCTTCCTCCTCCTCCTTCTCCTCTGCCGCCTCCTTTTCCTTTTTCTTCTCCTCTCTTCATCTTCCTTCTCCTCCTTCTCTTCTCTTCTTCTCTCCCTCAGCCTCCTCTCTTCCTCCTTCTCCTGCTTTTCATCTTTTTCACCACATGGCCAGGTTGGTCTCGAACTCCTGACCTCAGGTGATCCAACCGCTTTCGCCGCCAAAAGTGCTGGGATTACAGGCATGAGCCCACTGTGTCTGGTCTTATTTCTCAATTAAAATTATATATATATATATAATATATATATATATATATATATAAAATATATATATATATATATATAAAATATATATATATATATATATATATCCTGAATTTGGGAAAAAAATCAAAAAGAAAACAAAATATTAATTATATTAATAATATTAATAATAATATATGACAAATAATAATATATTATATCATATATAATAATATATGATATAATATATAAAATATATAACATATGGTATATAATAATATGTTATATAATATATAACATATGATATATAATAATATATTATATAATATATAACATGATATATAATAATATATCATATACAACATATGATATATAATAATATATATCATATATAACACATGTAAATAAATTATATCATATATAGTAATGTATAATATCCAACATATCATATATAATAATATACAACATATCTTACATAACATCATATATAATATATGATATTAATATCCAACATACACTATACTATATATATTATATAATGTATAAAATAAAAATAAAAAAATTACTATGCAGACATAATATATTATATCATAAAATTTGGTTGGGTGTGGTGCCTCAAGTCTGTAATCCCAGCACTTTGGGAGGCCAAGGTGGATGGATCACCTGAGGTCAGTAGTTCAAGGCCCACCTGGCCAACAAGGTGAAACCCTGTCTCTACGAAGATACAAAAATTAGCCAGGCATGATGGCAGGTGCCTGTAATTCCAGCTGCTCAGGAGGCTGAGGCAGAAGAACTGCTTGAGCCTGGAAGGCGGAGCTTGCAGTGAGCTGAGATCACGCCACTGTACTCCAGCCTGGGCAACAGAGTGAGACTCTGTCTTAAAAAAAAAAAAACGAAAAAGAATAAAATTACTTCCTCTGCAGTCTGCAGCCACATAGATGGAGCTGGAGGACATTATGTTAAGTGAAATAAATGAGGTACAGAAAAACAATCATCACACAATCTCAGTTCTATGTGGGAGCTAAAGAAGTGGAAGTGCTAGAAGTAGAGAGTAGAATGGTGGTTCCCATTGGCTAGGGAGTGGTGTAGGGAATTAGGGAAGATGTTGGTCAGGGGATGCAAAATCTCAATGACGCAGGATGAATACGTTCAGGAGATCTACTGTACAATGTGGTGACTATGGTTAATAGCATGGTATACTTGAAAATGGATAAGAGAATAACAAAGTTTAAAATATTCTCACTACCGATACAAAAATATGTTGGGTGATGAATAAGTAGTCTAATTTAATCATCCTGCAATGTGAGCAAATATCAAAACATCATATTGTGCCTCATAAATCTCTACAATAAGATTAATATTACTGTATAAAGGGAAAAGTAATGGATTAATACATTCTAATTATGTCAATTTTTGGAGAAAAGGGAAAAGCCACATGAAGAAATCATTGCAAACAAGTGAACTCTATGTGATTCAAAGATTAATTCGAGCCAGGCTTGGTGACTCACACCTGTAATCCTAGCACTTTGGGAGGTCAAGGTGGGCAGATCACTTGAGGTCAGGAGTTCAAGACCAGCCTGACCAACATGGCATCTCTACTAAAAATACAAACACTAGCAGGGTGTGGTGGTGCACAACTGTAGTCTCAGCTACTCAGGAGACTGAGGTAGAAGAATCGCTTCAACCTGGGACACAGAGGTTGCAGTGAGCCAAAATCACACCACTACATTCCAGCCTGGGTGACATAGCAAGATTCTGTCTCAAAAAAAAAAAAAAAAATTGGATCCTAACTGCTGTTATTTTTTCATTACGTTTATCAATGTTGCTTTCCAGTCCACACTTTAAACCCAAGAGTATTTAGAAGCATGGGGAATAGAGACCTAAAATGAAGATTCTGCACTCGTGCAAATCTATTCTCAAAAAGATCATGTGTCTCTGAGCCTGTCTATGTCGCCGGTTGACTGTGACAGTTCCCTGAATCTTCCTGTGGAATGCAAGTCTCATCAAAAGACAATTAACAAATATCTTGAAGCTCTCATATGCAATATTATTATTAAAATGCAAAAGCAGCTGTATCAGTTTGCAATAATATCAGCTTTGTACTTTGTAAATAAAATTGGAAGAATGGCCGATGTGTGATGACAACTACAAACAAGCCCAATTGGGTTTGTTTTAACATTATGTTAAAATTCCCTATAGATATGGATCTGCTTCTTACCTATTTGAGGAACAGAGGGCTACACCCTTGGGATGTCACTGGTAGGGAGAGGCTTGTTGTTTTTTTTTTTGTTTTGTTTTATTCCCTTTTTGACTTTTTCTTTTTTTCTGACAGATTCAGGAGATATATACATATAATCATTTTATATATATATATATATATATTTAATTTTAATTTAAAAATAAGGCTGGACATGGTGGCTCATGCCTGTAATCCCTGGACTTTGGGAGGCTGAGGCAGTTGGATTTCCTGAGGTCAGGAGTTCCAGAACAACCTGGCCAATGTGCTGAAACCCCATCTTTACTGAAAATACAAAAATTAGCTGGGTGTGGTGGCAGGTGCCTGTAATCCCAGTTGTTCAGGAGGTTGAGGCAGGAAAATCGCTTGAACCCAGGAGGCAGAGGTTGCAGTGAGCCAAGACTGTGTCACTGCACTCCAGCCTAGGCTACAGACTGAGACTCCACCTCAAAATAATAATAATAAAATAGAATAAATCTGGTGCCCTAGATGAATGCCTCACTCTAGTCCCTAAGAAACTTGGAAGTTTGGTCAGGAGTTCAAGACCAACCTGGCCAATGTGGTGAAACCCCATCTCTACTAAAAATACAAAAATTAGCTGGGCGTGGTGGCAGGTGCCTGTAATCCCAGCTATTCAGGAGGCTGAGGCAAAAGAATCACTTGAACCTGGGAGGTGGAGGTTGCAGGGAGCTGAGATCAAGCTACCGCACTCCAGCATGGGTGACAGAGTGAGACCCTGTCTAAAAAACAAACAATAAATTGACAACAACAGCACGTATTCATGGGGTACATAGTGATGTTTCAATATGTATAATGTACAGTGACAAAATTAGGGTAATTATCATATCAAAAATGATTTATTTTTAATGTAGCCAAACTCCTTTGGCCTTAATTAGGTCCTGACAACTTGGTCCTGACTGCAGGTTTAGGGCCAGGAGTGGTGAGTCTGAATTGTGTGCGGTTTTCCTGTGTGCCCAGAAGAATGCATTATTTCTCTGGGCATTCTCCAAATTCTTATTCATCAGAATCCTCATATCTATGCAAGATTTCATGTTTTGATCAAGAAGATATATTCTCCACACAATCCTCTTGCCTTTTGTTGAAAATCAGAGTTTTTGGCTAGGCTGGGTGGCTCATACCTGTAATTCCAACATTTTGGGAGGCCAAGGTGGGATAATGGCTTGAACCCAGGAGTTCCAGACCAGCATGGGCAACATAGTAAGACCCCATATCTAAAAAAAAAAAAAAAAAATTAGCTGGCCATGGTGACATGTACCTGTAGTCCCAGCTACTTGTGAGGCTGAGATGGGAGTATCACTTGAGCCCAGGAGGTCAAGTCTGCAGTGAGCTATGATTGCATCACTGCACTCCAGCCTGTGAGACCCTCTCTCAAAAAAAAAATCTGAATTTATAAATATTAAATTACTTTGAGATTCAGAGTCAATGACCCTCCAAAATATTAAGTGCCTGCTACTTCTCAGGGACATTTTATTATTAGGATAATCAGAATACCTTTCCTATTTTTAGGAACTCAAGTGCCTTGTGTATATTCCAAAATTCAGATCTAAATTCCCAATGTATTTCATAATTCAGGTGACATTAGATTATGAGGAAATCTTTCAGGTTAGTCAAACATAATCATATAATTATTTTGGGACCAGGAGTGGTGGCTTACCCTTGTAATAACAGCACTTTGGAAGGTGAAAGCAGGAGGATTGCTTGAGTCTAGAAATTTGAGACCAGCCTGGGCAACAAGTGAAACCCCTCTATCTCTACCAAAAACAAAAATTATTTTGGGAAAATTTTACATATTGAAAAGCAAATAATAACTACTGCTTTAATTAATGAGGATTATCCTGTAAGTTTTCTATTTTTTCCCACCTTTATATCATTTAGAAATATCCATCATAGAAGAAGTTCAGATCAATGATTGCTTTGCAGACGTTGAAGTTACAGTTGGAAAAGCCGCCTTAACTCCAACTGCGAGGTTAAGTCTAGGTCTTGTTCTCAGTTGTGCTGCCATTGTGTTTTTGCCAGCAGACGTTCTGGTAGAAGAGAGTGAAGGCTGTTATATCCAGGACAAACACAAAAACCGAACAGTGAATTCCTTATTCCTTATTTCTCCATAAAAACAGCTTTCCCCCATACTGTTTCAATCAGGCATTTGCACAGTAAATGACGTATCATATTAAGTTAAATATTTGGGTGAATGTGTTAGTAAATTTCCTCCTAGAAATATAGACAACCCTTTAAAATCCATGTTGCTCTATGGATGTACACATTTGAGTGATTTACAATTGTCAGATCATCAGTTTCTCCACAGCCTGGCATCACAGTGGCTACAACAAATATTAATGAGGTGCTACAAAGCACTTCAACCCAGCTTCTCTAAGATTTTGCACAAGAAATTGTGGTTGGACTTCTTTAGGCTCCATCTCTCTCTGTTTTTTTTTTTTTTTTTTTTTTTTTTTAACATACAACCATGCTTTATTTATCCACTAGCCTTACAGTAACAAAGCAGAAACTGAATTTGTGTGATACATTTTTAAGCAATAAACATGTTGATTTATTTGTTTAGTGAGTTGGATGATGCTATGTGCTATTTCTTGCAGGCTGAAAAAATAGGTTACATTTTCCTCTATATCCAAATAATCAAATTATTATAGATGGTACAAAAATGGAAACCACAGCATAACACAGAGAGATTTAAAGCTCTAACCCACAAGACAAACTTTCTCATCTTCTAATCGAAAAGTTTCAATTCACTCTAATTCATAGGCTGCACTGTATTTATTCCATTGTCACTGGTTCGAAAGACTTTTTGTGGCTCCACTGGATAATATCCCAGGTCACGCATTTATCCCCATTTTTTTTCCATCTTAAGTTTATTCTGCATCATTTTACTGTTGAAGGAGGAAGGAAGCATAGCTCTTATTCTCATTTGCAATTCTGGCCATTCCTGTGGGGAAAGATGGAGAAGGAAGATCAAAGGGAGACTTTTGTATGATTTTCAAGTCTTTCTTATGTTTACTACCCTAAATCCAGTTTTTACTTTAATTGTTGGATTTTCTTAGATTTACTTTGTTAGTTTTACTTAGATTGTTAAGATTTATCACTGCCCAGTAAATACAAAGGGATCATGTCATTGTTGCTGATAGTACAGGAATATATTATTGAACTCCTTAGGTTTTGGTAGTAGAGTCTTATTCTTTCCATTACAAGAGATTTTCCTAAACATAAATACCAGTTCAAAAATTTAGGTGGGAGCATGGGATAAGAGAATAGAACAGATCAGAATCAAAATAGCCTACAATGTTATTAGAAAGCAACTCACATGAAATTAAGTGAGCAGTCCTCTTACATCTGTAAAACACAGTTTTCTCACTGTAATCTTCCATTTTCCAGTATAGTGAAAATACTACTACCATATATTGTGATTATGGCATACTGTTAGTGATAAAATGAACAGAGATTTGACTGCAAAAATCCTGAATGATCGGGACTTTTTTTTTTTCTTTTTTGCCTTTTCAGTATAACTGGCAACTATATGAGTGTCTCTATTCTGGGAAAATTAATGGCCATCAGAAACCCAATTTATATGGTGGAAACTAGAGAAAACACGGGTAATAGTCACAAAATCCATTTTGCCTTTGATGAGAAATTTATGTCTGCATTTACTCAATGAAAAACCTCCTTCTGGAAATCTGTCAAAGCAAGGAATAGAAAGCAAAGAGAATGTTTTGCTATGGAACTTTGGTCTGAGATGAAAGCTAGGCTTTAGGAGCTAGCCAAGAGTATACCACTCTTCAGCTTCTATGAGAGTCCAGATTTCCATCCACATGAGAAATAAGGTGTAATGTTCTGTTTTCCTTTCACTGCAATGTAGTGACTTTGCAGTTGGCTCTCCCAGTCAATGAGATGTTCCCGTCTCAGAGCTCAGACCTCTTTTCCATAGAGAAAGGGCCACAGCAGAGCAGCCCACTTTATTGTATGGATTGACTGAAGCTCCAGGAGTCTGACAGTGAGCAGATGTTTGTGAGGCAAACAAGAACTGTAGAATGTGGCATGATTGGAAGACAAGGACTTCCAATGATGCACTTTATTACAAAAGCAGAGGCATAAACATCAGTGAGGAGTCATGGTAACTACCTCCTCCTGACGTCACTGTGGATGGAAATGGTGTGCTGAAAGACCGTGGGAAGATGGGACCATGGGGGAGAGAGGGAAAATGATTTTGCTTTAGATGACCAATGGAAAGAAAAAAAATTATAGTGGAATGGGAGGGACACAATAGAATAAATTCATAGTCATATTTGAGGGTGGAAAACCAAGTGACGCTATTCACTATGGCAAAAACTTGGAATCAACCTAGATGCCCATCAGTGGATAAAGAAATTGTGGTACATAGACACGCTGGAATACTTTGCAGCAACATGGATGCAGCTAGAGGCCATTATTCTGAGTGAATTAGTGTAGGAACACAAAACCAGGTACTGATTGTTTTCACTTCTAAGTAGGAGCCAAACCTTAGGTAGTCATGGACATAAAGATGTGAATGACAGGCACTGGGGGCTACTTGAGGGTGCAGGAAGGGAGGAGGGAGAGGACTGAAAAACTACCTACTGGGTTTTATGCTTCCCACCTGGATGATGAAATTGTACACCAAACCCTCTTGATATGCAATTTACCCACGTAACAAACTTGCACGTGGACATTCTGAGCCTAAAATAAAAGTTGGAAAGAAAAAAGAAGAGAAGGAAAATGGAATAACACGGTGCAGTAACACAGCCATGTAGTGGGGTTGGAAGCTGCATCTTGAATTGGAAGGAGCATAGTGGATGCTTTGCAGTGAAGCCCTAGAGAAGCTCACTAGAGTGGAAATGGCTGTGTATTGATGGGGTCCTTAAGTGATCATGGGAGTGATTGATGCCCACCTGGACTCAAGAATCTCTACTGCATGGTCTCAACTTTTGCCCCTTCCAACTGTGATAGTTTCCTTCATTTTGCCCATCTTATAGAAGATACATTAGGGCTTTGGATGAAGAAGCTGAGACTAATCAAAGTCGTGTAACTTTTCCAAGATGACATAGCCTCAAAGTAGAGGAGTTAGAATCAGCTGGGTCTTGGTATGTGTTTGGTTACAAAAAAGCTTGCATTTCCAAATTTTATGTAGCTCATCCCATTTTCTACTTTCCTTCTTTCCTCCTCCTCCTCCACCTTTCCTCTCCTCCTCCACCTTTCCTCTCCTCCTCCACCTTTCCTCTCCTCCTCCTCCTTCTTTTCTTCCTCTTCTTCTTTTTTCTTCTCCTTCTCCTTCTTCCTTTCCTCTTGCTCATCTTCCTCCTACTCCTCCTTCTTCTTCTCCTCTTCATCTCCTCCTCCTCCTCCTCCTTCTTCCTTCTTCCTCATCATCATATTTTAGAGACAGGGTCTTTCTCTGTTGCCCAGGCTGGAGTGCAGTGGCATGATCATAGCTTACTGCAGTGTTGAATTCCTGAACTCAAGCAATACTCCCACCTTCACCTCCTGAGTAACTGGGCACTACAAGCACAGCCATGATGCCCAACTAATTTAAAAACATTTTTTTTAATAGATTGGGTTTAGCTGTGTTGCCCAGGCTGCTGTCAAACACCTGGCCTCAACTGATCCTCCTGCCCCAGTCTCTGAAAGTTCTGGGATTATAGGCATGAGCCACCAGGGCTGGACAAGCACATTTTCTGTATCCATTCATCTGCAAATGGACATTGGCATGGTGTCCACATCTCACCTCTTGTAAATAATCTTCAGTGAACGTGAGAGTGCAGATATCTCTTCAACACACTCATTTCAATTATCTTGGATGTATACCCAGAAGTGGGATGGCTGGATTATATGTGTAAGGGTGTTAAACAGACCATGGCTTCTAATACATCACAATCTCAGCCTTGGGACTCAATGAGGGCTCAGGGAAATAAACATTTGTCAAGTATATATGTAACTACATGACGGGTTCTTTCTGCCCACCAAACAGAAAAAAAAAAAAAAAACAATTTGCTGAGACCATTATGTTACAATAAAGCAAGAGCTTAATAGACACAAGGTCAGGTATGCCACATGGGAGATGGAGTTATTACTCAAAAATTGGAGGTTAGGATTTTGTGAAGGTAGTTTGGGAAAGGAGTCTGGGTGGCTAGGCAATGGGTGCCTGCTGCTGATTGATTAGGTCAGAGATGAAATCATAGGGAGTTGAAGCTGTCCTCCCAGGCTAAGTTGTTTCTAGGTGGCACCACAAGAGTGTGGAGCCCTCAATTGGTGGGTCCAGGTGTTGCCATGGGTGTCAGACATGCAAAAACACCTGAAAAGACATCTCAAAAGACCAGTCCTTCAGTTCAGCAACAGTGATGTTATCTGCAGGAGTAATTGGGGAAGTTGCATAGCTTGTGACTTCTGGAATAATGGCTACCAATCATTTCTGTCTGCACTTTAACAGAATTCAGACTCCTCTGGCCTAGCCTGGTGGTCTCTCCTTAGCTTTACAAAGGTGGTTGAGTTTTGCGGAAGTCCTATTATCATTTAAACTATAAGCTAAATGTCTTGCGGGTTGGAGGCTAAAGGCAAGAAGGGTGTTGGCTAGATCAGATCTCCCCCACTGCCATAATTTGTTTCACTGCTATAATTTTTCCAAAGGCAGTTTCAGAAATCTGAGATGTCATTCTCTTTAAAGCTTCTGTCAGGCTTCTGAGCCCAGACTAAGCCATCATATCCCCTGTGAACTGCAAGTATATATCCAGATGGACTGAAGCAACTGAAGATCCACAAAAGAAGTGAAAATAACCTTAACTGACGATATTCCATCATTGTGATTTGTTTCTGCCCCGCCAACTGATCAATCCATGTACTTTGTAGCCTCCCCCACCCTTAAGAAGGTTGTTTGTAATTCTCCCCACTCTTGAGAATGTACTTTGTGAGATCCACTCTCTGCCTGCAAAACATGGCTCCTAACTCCACCACCTATTCCAAAACCTATAAGAACTAATGACAATCCCACCACCCTTTGCTGACTCCTTTTTCGGACTCAGCCTGCCTGCACCCAGGTAAAATAAACAGCCTTGTTGCTCACACAAAGCCTGTTTGGTGGTCTTTTCAGATGGATGTGCATGTCATTTGGTGCCAAAGACCCAGGTCACAGGGATTCCTTCGGGAGACCAGGCCCCTGTCCTCACTCTCACTCCATGAAGGGATCCACCTATGACCTCGAGTCCTTAGACCAACCAGCCCAAGGAACATCTCACCAATCTCAAATTGGGTAAGTGGTATTTTCAATCTCTTCTCCAGCCTCTCTTGCTACCCTTCAGTCTCCCCGTCCTTCCAATTCCAGTTCTTTTTCCTCTCTGTTAGAGACAAAGGAGACACATTTTATCCATGAACCCAAAACTCTGGTGTCAGTCATGGACTGGAAAAGACAGCCGTCCTTGGTGTTTAATCATTGTGGGGACACCTGCCTGATTATTCACCCACACTCTATTGGTGTTTAATCACTGCGGGGAAGTCTACCTGATTATTCACCCACATTCCATTGGTGTCTGGTCACCATGGGGATGACTGCCTTGGTCATTCACCCACATTCCCTTGGTGGCAAGTCAATTGCAAGGATGCCTGCTTTGGCTGCTCACCCACATTGCAGCCCAGGGCTGCTCCCCACCCCTTTTCTGTGTCTCTACCCTTCTCTTTAAACTTGCCTCCTTCACTATGGGCAGCCTTCCACCCTCCATTCCTCCTTCTTCTCCCTTAGTCTGTGTTCTCAAGAACTTAAAACCTCTTCAACTCTCACCTGAGCTAAAATCTAAGCATCTTATTTTCTTCTGCAATATTGCTTGGCCCCAATACAAGCTCAACAGTAGTTCCAAGTGGCCAGAAAATGTCACTTTCAATTTGTCTATCCTACAAGATCTAGATAATTTTTGTCAAAAAATGGGCAAATGGTCAGAGGTGCCTGATGTCCAGGCATTCTTTTACACATTGGTCCCTCCCTAGCCTCTGCTCCCAATATGACTCATCCCAAATCTTTCTTCTTTCTCTCCTTTCTGTTCCTTCAGTCTCCACCCCAAGCTCTGGGTCCTTTGAATCCTTTTCTATGGAATCTTCTGACCTCTCCCCTTGTCCCTGGGCTGCTCCTTGCCAAGCTGAGCCAGGTCCCAATTCTTCCTCAGCCTCTGCTCCCTGACCCTGTAATCTTTCTATCACCTCCCCTCCTCACACCCAGTCTGGCTTACAGTTTTGTTCCATGACTAGCTCTCCCGCACTTGCCCAAAATTTCCTCTTAGAGAAGTGGCTGGAGCTGAAGACATAGTCAGGATACATGTGCCTTTTTCTCTATCAGACCTTTACCAAATCAGCCAGAGTTTAGGCTGTTTCTCATTAGACCCCACTAAATATATACAGGAATTCCGATATCTAACTCTGTCCTACAATTTAACCTGGAGTGACTTAAATGTCATCCTAACTTCTACCCTTTCCCCAGATGAATGGGAAAAAGTTTTTTCTCTAGCCCAATTTCATGCTAATAACCACCAGCTTCATGAGCCAGACCCCTAGGAAGGCATTAGAGCAGTTCCCTGGGAATATCCCCAATGGAACCATCAGGCAGATTCCCCAGGTATAGCTAGGCGAGATTACATGGTTTCCTGCCTAGTTGAAGAGCTTAAAAAGGCAGCTTACAAAGTTGTTAATTATGACAAATTTAAAGAAACTACCCAAAGTAAAGAGGAAAACCCAGCCCAGTTCATGGCCTGCTTAGTTAGCAGCAACCCTTAGACACTTTACCACCCTAGAGCCAGAGGGGTCAGAAGGCCACCTTATTCCTAATATGCATTTTATCACCCAGTCAGCTCCTGACATTAGAAAAAAGCTTCAAAATTTGGAATCCAGCCCTCAAACCCCACAATAGGAATTAGTCAACCTCACCTTCAAGGTGTACAATAACAGAGAGGAGGTAGCCAGACAGCAACACATTTCTGAGTTCAGCTACTTGCCTCCTCTGTAAGACAACCCACAGCCACATCTCAGCATACAAGAACTTCAGAACATGCAAGCCACAGGTCCCAGGCGCTCCTTCAAAACATCCTCATGGACCTTACTTCAAATGTCAAAAGCCTGGCCACTGGGCCTTAGAATGTCTGCAGTCTGGGATTCCTCCTGAGCCACGCCCTCTCTGTGCAGGCTCCCACTGGAGGTCAGACAGTCTGACTCACATCGCCACCACTCGTAAAGTCCCTGGAGCCCAAACCCAATGTTCCTTGGCTGACTCCTTCCCATATCTTATCAGCTTAGTGGCTGAAGACTGATGCTGCCTGATCACCTAGAAAGCCTCCTGGACCATCACGGATGCTTTGGGTAACTCTTACAGTGGAGGGCAAGTCCATCCCTTCTTAATCAATACAGAGGCTACCCACTCCACATTACCTTCTTTTCAAGGGCCTGTTTTGCTTGCCTCCATAACCATTGTGGGTATTCACAGCCACGCTGCTAAACCTCTTACAACTCCCCAACTCTGGTGCCAACTTGGACAACATTCTTTAATGTGATCCTTTTTAGTTATCCCCACCTGCCCAGCTCCCTTATTAGGTCAAGGCATTTTAAGTAAATTATCTGCTTCTCTGACTATTCCTGGGCTACAGCCACACCTCATTGCCACCTATTCCCCCAGTTTAAAGCCTCCTTCACATCCTTTCCTTGTATCTCCCTGCCTTAATCCGCAAGTATAGGACACCTCTACTCCCTCCTTGGTCACAGACGATGCCCTGCTTACCATCCCACTAAAACCTAATCACCCTTACCCCGCTCAACTCCAGTATCCTATCCCATAACAGGCTTTAAGGGGATTAAAGCCTGTTACCACTCACCTGCTACAGCATGGGCTTCTAAAACCTATAAACTCTCCTTAACAATTCTCCCATTTTACCTGTCCAAAAACCAGACAAGACTTACAGGTTAGTTCAGGATCTGTGCCTTATCAACCAAATTGTCTTGCATATCCACTTCATGGTGCCAAACCCATATACTCTCCAACCTCAATACTTCCCTCCACAACCCCTCCATAACCCATTATTCCATTCTGGATCTCAAACATGTTTTCTTTACTATTCCTTTGCACCCTTCATCCCAGCCTCTCTTTGTTTTCACTTAGACTGACCCTGACACCCATCAGGCTCAACAAATTACCTGGGCTTTACTGCCACAGGGCTTCACAAATAGCTCCCATTACTTCAGTCAAGCCCAAATTTCTTCCTCATCCATTACCTATCTTGACATAATCTTCAAGAAAACACACATGCTTTCCCTGCTGATTATGTTCAGCTAACCTCCCAAACCCCAACCACTTCTACAAAGCAACAACTCCTTTCCTTCCTAGGCATGGTTAGATACTCTGACTTTGTACACCTAGTTTTACCATCCTGAGTAAACCATTATATAAACTCATGAAAGCAAACTTAGCTGACCCCATGGATCCTAAATCCTTTCACCACTCCTCTTTCCATTCCTTAAAAACAGCCCTAGAAATTGCCCCCACACTAGCTCTCCCTGACTCATCCGAACACTTCATTACACAAAGCCGAGGTGCAGGGCTGTGCAGTTGGAATTCATACACAAGGACCGGGACCATGCCCTGTAGCCTTTTTGTCCAAACAACTTGACCTTACTGTCTTAGGCTGGCCATCATGTCTCCATGCGGTGGCCACCACCACCCTAATACTTTTAGAGGCCCTCAAAATCACAAACTATACTCAACTTACTCTCTACAGTTCTCAAAACTTCCAAAAGCTATTTTCTTGTCATACCTGACACATATACTTTCTGATCCCTGGATCCTTCAGTTATATTCACTCTTTGTTGAGTCTCCCACAATTACCATTGTTCCTGGCCTGAACTTCAATCTGGCCTTCCACATTATTCCTGATAACACACCTGACCCCCATGACTGTATCTCTCTGATACACCTGGCATTCACTCCATTTCCCCACATTTCCTTCTTTCCTGTTGCTCACCCTGATCACACCTGGTTTATTGATCGCAGTTCCACCAGGCCTAATCACCACTCACTAGCAAAGGCAGGCTATGCTGTAGTATCTTCCACATCTATCATTGCGGCTACTGCTCTGCCCCCTTCCACTACCTCTCAGAAAGCTGAACTCATTGCATTAACTTGGGCCCTCACTCTTGCAAAGGGACTACACATCAATATTTATACTGACCCTAAATATACCTTCCATATCCTGCACCACCATTCTGTTATATGGGCAGAAAGAAATTTCCTCACTATGCAAGGGTCCTCCCTTTTTTTTTTTTTTTTTTTTTTTTTTTTTAGACGGAGTCTCGTTCTGTCGCCCAGGCGGGAGTGCTGTGGCGCGATCTCCGCTCACTGCAAGCCCCGCCTTCCGGGTTCATGCCATTCTCCTGCCTCAGCCTCCCGAGTAGCTGGGACTACAGGCGCCCGCCACTGCGCCCGGCTGATTTTTTGTATTTTTAGTAGAGACGGGGTTTCACCGTGGTCTCGATCTCCTGACCTCATGATCCGCCCGCCTCGGCCTCCCAAAGTGCTGGGATTACAGGCGTGAGCCACCGCGCCCGGCCAAGTGTCCTCCATTATTAATGCCTCTTTAATAAAAACTCTTCTCAAGGTTGCTTTACTGCCAAAGGAAGCTGGAGTCATACACTACACAGGCCACAAAAAGGCATCAGATCCCATTGCTCAGGGGAATGCTTATGCTGATAAGGTAGTTAAAGAAGCAGCGAGCATTCCAACTTCTGTCTCTCATGGCCAGTTTTTCTTCTTCTCTTAGGTCACTCCCACTTACTCTCCCACTGAAACTTCCACCTATCAATCTCTTCCCACACAAGGCAAATGGTTCTTGGACCAAGAAAAATATCTCCTTCCAGTCTCACAGCCCCATTCTATTCTGTCATCATTTCAGAACCTCTTCCATGTAGGTTACAAGCCATTAGACTGCCTCTTAAAACCTCTCATTTCCTTTCCATCATGAATATCTATCCCCAGTCCTCATTCTTGACTCCCTCTTGGAGTGGATAGATGATCTTTGCTGACAGGATACACTCTAACACTTTCACCCTTATGAAGTCTTATTCTTTACTTTTATACTCACTCTTGCTCTCGTTCACATTCTTATGCCATCCTCTACCTCTCCCCAGCTATCTCCACCACACTATCAATCTCACTCACTCCTAGCCATTTCTAATCCTTCTTTAACAAACAATAGCTGGCTTTGCATTTCTCTTTCCTCCAAAATCACTGAGGCCTCAATTTACTCACTGCTGAAAAAGGAGGACTCTGTATATTTTTAAATGAAGAGAGTTGTTTTTACCTAAATCAATCTGGCCTGGTATATGACAACATAAAAAAACTCAAGGATAGAGCCCAAAAACTTGCAAACCAACCAAATAATTATGCAGAATCCCCTTGGGCACTCTCTAATTGGATGTCCTGGGCCCTCCCAATTCTTAGTCCTTTAATACCTGTTTTTCTCCTTCTCTTATTTGAACCTTGTGTTTTCCTTTTAGTTTCTCAATTCACACAAAACGGCATCCAGGCCATCACCAATCATTTTATACAACAAAGGCTTCTTCTAACAATCCCACAATATCACCCCTTACCTGAAAATCTTTCTTCAGTTTAATCTCTCCCACTCTAGGTTCCCATGCCATCCCTAATCCTGCTCAAAGTAGCCCTGAGAAATATCACCCATTATCTCTCCATACCGCGCCCCAACATTTTCACCACCCTAACACTTTACCACTATTTTGTTATTTTTCTTATTAATATAAGAAGACAGGAATGTCAGGCCTCTGAGCCCAGGCTAAGCCATCATATCCCCTGTGACTGGCACTATACATCCAGATGGCCTGAAGCAACTGAAGATCCACAAAAGAAGTGAAAATAGCCTTAACTGATGATATTCCACCATTGTGATTTGTTTTGGCTCCACCCTAACTGATCAATGTACTTTGTCATCTCCCCCACCCTTAAGAAGTTTCTTTATAATTCTCCCCACCCTTGAGAATTGTGAGATCCACTCCCTGCCAGCAAAACATTGCTTTTAATTCCACTGCCCTTCCCAAAACCTGTAAGAACTAATGACAATCCCACCACCCTTTGATGACTACTTTTTCGGACTCAGCCCACCTGTACCCAGGTGAAATAAACAGCCTTACTGCTCACATAAATCCTGTTTGGTGGTCTCTTCACATGGATGCATGTGTCAGCTTCCATTTTTCCATCCTATGATTTCATCATGTTTTCTTCCTATGAGGTGTTAGTTGATCTTTCTTTTCTTTTTTTTTCTTTTTTTTTTTCTTTTGAGACAGGGTCTTTCTCTGTCACCCAGGCTGGGTTGCAGTGGCATGATCAGGGCTCACTGCATCCTCAACCTTCTGGGCTGAAGTGATCCTCCCATCTCAGCCCCACTCCCCAGGTAGCTGGGACTACAGGAGTACACCATCATGCCTGGCTATTTTTTTTTTTAAATTTTATTGCAGAGATGGCAGTCTTGCTATGTTGCCCAGGCTGGTCTTGAACTCCTAAACTCAAGTGATCCTCCTGTCTCAGCCTCCCAACATGCTGGGATTATAGGCATAAGCCACCAAATCTGACTGGTCTTTCTTTAAGCCTCTTTTTGCTTTTATAGTATTTATCAATAGATTTATACCCAAAAGTTAACTATTCTCTATTTTACTAAAAATCATGTCATGGAATGCTTCTTAATACTGTTTCCCTAATTTGCTTTTAGTACTTATTGCTCATAAAAGCATTCCTGACTTTAATCACCTTTTTTTCCCATCTTCCGTAAATGGCTTACTTCACAATGTTTCCTTCCAAAATGACTTCAATATCGCCTCTAACAGGATAACTTGTAAACCTAAATCTCTAGCCCTATCAATTTTTCTACGTACAAACCCACATTTGAACACAATTATTTGCTGCTATTGTTACATAATAGCCAATCTTACTTATCAATTGAAGTTGATCTTCTTGATCAATAATGCAAGGTGATACATTATGGGATTTGGGGGATAGGAGTATAAATGAAACAATAAAACATTTCCAAAGACAAAGTACATTACCAGCTAATTTCAGTAATTTACATATTAGTTCATCTCTCTCCAATAAATATTACATTATTTTTTAAAAAACACATGAGAGGGAATGCCTTATACTCTTTTGCAGCACTGTTGAGTCTATCATGATTTCAAAATTCAAAGTTGAAAAATGTTTACAGAGTAAGCGGATTAAAGACAGGGAAAAAATCCATTTAGAGTTCCTCTTATGCTCGGAAATTAAGTAATAGAACTATACACGTGTCACTACAGTTGGAAAAAGCTTTAGAGATGATCTGGTCCAGACGAGGAAATTGAGACCAAGAGGGTTTTATTATCATTATATAAGTTCAAATGCCTCAGAATTGGTAGAAAAATCAGTTTCTTATTTTTGTTTTTTAAGATGAGGGTCTCAGTCTGTCACCCAGATTGGAGTGCAGTGGTGCAGTCACAGCTCACTGCAGCCTCGACCTCCCAGGCTCAAGCGATCCTCCCACCTCAGCCTCCCGAGTGGCTGGGACTACAGGTGCACAACACCATGCCAAGCTAATTTCTGTATTTTTAGTAGAGACTGGGTGTTGTCTTGTTGCCCAGACTGGTCTTGGACTCCTGGGCTCAAGCAATCCTCCCACCTCAGCCTCCCAAATTGCTGGGATTATAGGTGCGATCCATGGTTCCCAGCCAAAAAATTAGCTCTTGACAGTCTCTTAGATATGAGGCATAGATCTTTACTTACTTAATAACAGATAATGATTGGCAATGTGTTTATACAAGTTAGAATCTGATAATTCAAATGATGCCTTTATTTTAGTTTTTATTTTTTATGTATTGGAGCTAAAAATTTTATGAAAAGTTGGGATGGGTGATAATTAGCCAGACCCCATAACATCTAATTTTTTAGGGTATGCATCAGACAAATGGCACAGAGACCAAGGGGAAAGTAGAGAGGTCAGCACAGAGACTGGGTGGAAAAATAAAATTTTCAAGAAACTATAGACAGTCCTGCTCTTGTTAGGAGTGTTCATCCTGAAACAAGTTCCCAAGTTAGGATGCCAGCAATTCTGAGCAATAAAGACACCATGTGGAAATTAAAACTCCTATAGATGGTGCATGTCCCAGAGGAAAACCACAAGGTTATCATAATTGACAGATCTTTAATTCTATCACTGTTGTTGCTAAAACTTTAGTGTGGCATTTGTAAACCAAAAATACAGTTCTAAGGCTCCCCTAAGAACTGAATGGACTTTCTCCTCCAGGGCACTTTAAAATGTAACCCAGGCTGGGTGCGGTGGCTCAAGCCTGTAATCCCAGCACTTTGGGAGGCTAAGGCGGATGGATCACTTGAGGTCAGGAGTTCAAGACCAGTCTGGCCAACATGATGAAACCCTATTTCTACTGAAAATACAAAAATTAGCCAGGTGTATGGTGCCTGTAATCCAAGCTACTGAGGAAGCTGAAGCAGGAGAATCGCTTGAACCTGGAAGGTGGAGGTTGCAGTGAGCCAAGATCATGCCATTGCACTCCAGCCTGGGCAACAGAGTGATACAACATCTCAAAATAAATAAATAAATTAATTAATTAAAATAAAATTTAACCTGGAAGATTGGTTCAAGCCATGATGAAAAGTGGAGTTGCACGTGCCTCATTAGAGCCCTCCATCATTAACATCAAAACAGACCTTACTTCTGATAAGAAACATTTACAATCTATTCTCTCTGAAGCCTGCTACCTGGGGGCTTCATCTGCATGATAGAACTTCAGTCTCTCATCCCCTATCTTAATCTAGATATTTCCTTTCTATTGACCCCAGGTCTTTAGATAAACTCAACCAATTGCCAGTCAGAAAAACATTAAATCCATCTATAACCTGAATCCTAGCCCCCTGACTCCCAGCCTGAATCAAGTTGTCCCACCTCTCTGGGTACAACCTTAAATGTATTTGACCAAAGTCTCATTTCTCCCTAAAATGTATAAAACCAAGTTGTGCCCCAATCACCTTGGGCACATGATCTCAGGAGATCCTGAGGGCTGTGTTATGGGTCATGGTCATGTGTGCTCAAAATAAATCTCTTCAAATAATTTTCCAGAGTTTGACAGTTTTTGTTGACATATTTTTGAAAAATGTGTTGTTATATAATTTTCCGCTGCTTGAAAATATGCTCCAGTTGCCACTGAGTTAATGATTCTCTAGTTGCATATTTCTCTGCTCCCAATTCCCTCAACCACATGATTCCACCAGTGAACACACTTAACCCAGCTTTATTAAAAATCTGTGATCATAGATGTGTGGTGTTATTTCTGAGGCTTCTGTTCTGTTCCATTGGTCTCTATATTTGTTTTGGTATCAGTACCATGCTGTTTTGGTTACAGTACCCTTGTAGTATAATTTGAAGTCAGGTAGCATGATGCCTCCAGCTTTGTTCTTTTTGCTTAGGATTTTCTTGGCTATGTGGGCTCTTTTTTGGTTCCATATGAACTTTAAAGTAGTTTTTTCCAATTCTGTGAAGAAAGCCCATGGTAGCTCGATGAGGGTAGCATTGAATCTATAAATTACTTTGGGCAATATGGCCATTTTCACGATATTGATTGTTCCTATCCATGAATATGGAATGTTTTTCCATTTGTTTTCATCCTCTCTTATTTTCTCGAACAGTGGTTCGTAGTTCTCCTTGAAGAGGTCCTTCCCAACCCTTACAAGTTGGATTCCTAGGTATTTTATTCTCTGTAGAAATTGTGAATGGGAATTAACTCATGATTTGGCTCTCTGTTTGTTATTGATGTATAGGAGTGCTTGTGATTTTTGCACATTGATGTTGTATCCTGAGACTTTCTGAAGTTGCTCATCAGCTTAAGGAGATTTTGGGCTGAGATGATGGGGTTTTCTAAACATACAATCATGTCATCTGCAAACAGAGATAATTTGACTTCCTCTTTTCCTACTTGAATATGATTTATTTATTTCTTTTCCTGATTGCCCTAGCCAGAAGTTCCAATACTATGTCAAATAGGAGTTGTGAGAGAGGGCATCCTTGTCGTGTGGGGGTTTGCAAAGGGAATCCTTCCAGTTTTTGCCCATTCAGTATGATATTGGCTGTGGGTTTGTCATAAACAGCTCTTATGATTTTGAGATACATTCCATTGATACCTAGTTTATTGAGAGCTTTTAGCATGAAGGGCTGTTGAATTTTTGTCAAAGGCCTTTTCCGCTTCTATTGAGATTATTATGCAGTTTTTGTCATTGGTTCTGTTTAGGTGACGAATTACATTTCTTGATTTGTGTATGTTGAACCAGCCTTACATCCCAGAGATGAAGCTGACCTCATCATGATGAATATGCTTTTTGATATGCTCCTGGATTCAGTTTGCCAGTAGTTTATTAAGGATTTTTTGCATTATTGTTCATCAGGGATTCTGGCCTGAAATTGTCTTTTTTTGTTGTGTCTCTGCCAGGTTTTAGTATCAGGATGATGCTGGCCTCATAAAATGAGTTAGGGAGGATGTCCTTTTTTCTATTGTTTGGAAAAGTTTCAGAAGGAATAGTACCAGCTCCTTTTTGTACCTCTGGTAGAATTCAGCTGTGAATCCGTCTGATCCTGGACTTTTTTTTTTTGATTGGTAGGCTATTAATTACTACCTCATTTTCAGATCTTGTTATTGGTCTATTCAGGGATTCAGCTTCTTCCTGGTTTAGACTTGGAAGGCTGCATGTGTCCAGGAATTTATCCAATTCTTGTAGATTTTCTAGTTTATTTGTGTAGAGGTGTTTATAGTATTCTCTGATTGTAGTTTGTATTTCTGTGGCATTAGTGGTGAGGATATCCCCTTTATCATTTTTTATTGTGTTTATTTGATTCCTGTCTCTTGTCTTCTTTATTAGTCTGGCTAGCAATGTATCTATTTTTTTGATCTTTTCAAAAAACCCTCTTGATCTTTGACAAGGCTGACACAAAGAAGCAATGGGGAAAGGATTCCCTATTTAATAAATGGTGTTGGGAAAACTGGCTAGCCATATGCAGAAAACTGAAACTGGACCCCTTCCTTACACCTTATACAAAAATTAACTCAAGATGAATTAAAGACTTAAATGTAAGACCTAAAGGAATAAAAATCCTAAAAGAAAACCTAAGCAATACAGTTCAGGACATAGGCATGGGCAAAGGGTTTATGATTAAAACACCAAAACAATTGCAACAAATGGGATCTAATTAAACTAAGGAATTCTGCACAGAAAAAGAAAACAATCATCAGAGTGAACAGGAAACCTAAAGAATGGGAGAATAATTCTGCAATCTATCCACCTGACAAAAGGCTAATATCCAGAAACTACAAAGAACTTAAACAAATTTACAAGAAAAAAAAAAGACCCCATCAAAAAGTTGGCAAAACATATGAACAGACTCTTCTCTAATGAAAACATTTACGCAACCAACAAACATTTGAAAGAAAGGTTATCATCACTGGCCATTAGAGAAATGCAAATCAAAACCACGATGAGATACCATCTCATGCTAGTTAGAATGGCAATCATTAAAAAGTCAGAAAATGGCCAGGTGTGGTGGCTCATGCCTGTAATCCCAGCACTTTGAGAGGCCTAGGCAGGTGTATCATGAGGTCAGGAGATTGAGACCATCCTGCCTAATGCAGTGAATGTAGGGAAGAGGCCCCCCAAAATCTGGCTATAAACGGGCCCCAAAACTGGCCATAAACAAAATCTTTGCAGCACTCTGACATGCTCATGATGGTCATTACACTCATGCCAGAAGATTGTGGGTTTACTGGAATTAGGGCAAGGAACACCTGGCCCACCCAGGGTGGAACACTGCTTAAAGACATTCTTAAACCAAAAACAATAGCATGAGCTATCTGTACCTTAAGGGCATGTTCCTGCTGCAGATAACTAGCTAGACCCATCCCTTTATTTCAGCCCATCCCTTTGTTTCCCATAAGGGATACTTTTAGTTAATTGAATATCTATAGAAACAATGCTAATGACTGGCTTGCTGTTAATAAATACGTGGGTAAATCTCTGTTTGGGGCTCTCAGCTCTGAAGGCTGTGAGACTTCTGATTTCCCATGTTACACCTCTATATTTCTGTGTGTGTGTCTTTAATTCCTCTAGTGCTGCTAGGTTAGGGTCTCCCCAACCAAGCTGGCCTCTTCAGTGAAACCCCATCTCTACTAAAAATACAAAAAATTAGCTGGACATGGTTGCAGGCTCCTGTAGTCCTGTCTACTCGGGAGGCTGAGGCAGGGGAATGGTAAGCGGGATGGCGTATGGAACCTGGGGAATGGAACCTGGGTAATGGAACCTGGGAGGTGGAGCTTGCAGTGAGTCAAGATTGTGCCACTGCACTCCAGCCTGGGTGACAGCATGAGACTCCATCTCAAAAAAAAAAAGTCAGGAAACAACAGATGCTGGAGAGCATGTGGAGAAATAGGAATGCTTTTACACTGTTGGTGGGAGTATAAATTAGTTCAATCATTGTGGAAGACGTGTGGTGATTCCTCAAGGATCTAGAACTAGAAATACCATTTGACCCAGCAATATCATTCCTGGGTATATACCCAAAGGATTATAAATCATTCTACTATAAAGACACTATAAAGACACATGCACCCATATGTTTATTGCAGCACTCTTCACAATAGCAAAGATTTGGAACCAACCCAAATGTCCATCAATGATAGATTGGAGAAACAAAATGTGGCATATATACACCATGGAATACTACACAGCCACAAAAAATGATGAGTTCATGTCCTTTGCAGGGACATGGATGAAGCTGGAAACCATTGTTCTCAGCTAACTAACACAAGAACAGAAAACCAAACACTGCATGTTTTCACTCATAAGTGGAAGTTGAACAATGAGAACACATGGACACAGGGAAGGGAACATCACACATAGGGGCCTGTTTTGGGGTTGGGAGCTAAGGGAAGGATAGTAGGTGACAGGTTGATGGGTGCAGCAAACTGCTGTGGCACATGTATAACTACGTAAGAAAACTGCACATTCTGCACATGTACCCCAGAACTTAAAGTATAAAAAAAAACTACGGTCGTGGAGGCTGAGTTGACATTAAGTGCTTTGTAAACATTTTCCTTGAAAGGAGAACCCCTCACCTCAGAATGTCTGGAATCCATTCTTTAAGGGGAGCATTTCATGAGTGAAGTGACATATATGTCACTTTCATGGGAAGAGGGAAGATTCTGAAAATATTTCAAGAACATATTTAAATATTTAAACCACAGCAAATTGGTGTGGTTTTCTACTCTGCTGGAAGGACAAAGAGTCATAGCTGACCCAAACAAAACAAAACAAAACAAAACAAAACCATACACGTGTGCATACAAAGAATCGTTCTTGGCTGGGCATGGTGGCTCATGCCTGTAATCCCAGAACTTTGGGTGGCCAAGGCAGGTGGATCACGAGGTCAGGAGATCGAGACCATCTTGGCTAACATGGTGAAAACCCATTCTACTAAAAATACAAAAAATTAGCCTGATGTGGTGGTGGGTGCCTGTAGTCCCAGCTACTCAGGAGGCTGAGGCAGGAGAATGGCAGGAACCTGGGAGGCAACTCTTGCAGTGAACCAAGATCATGCCACTGCTCTTCAGCCTGGGTGACAGAGCGAGACTCTTTCTCAAAAAAAAAAAGAATCATTTTCTAGAAAAAATGCATTGCATATGCTAAATCTTCTAGCATTGAAGAGAATACTTGCAAAGCCTGTACATTATTCCAGAGTTAACATCCATGACAGGGATTGAGTATCATGGTCCCTATCAAGTTAATTACTAAAGGATGCTTAACAGCAGAGAGGGAGGGCCACAAATTACTCCTCATCTGCACCATCTGTCACAGGGAATCAATATTTTTATGATGATGACATATTCACCATTAATGCATGGAATACTCTATACCAAAAACTTGTGCAATTATGTCTTTAATCACCATTCAAGATCATACTTATCCTAAATTGTGTTCCGTAGGCATTTCTCAGCCATCTCTCTCTTTTCTGTTGATCAAAGGCCAATGTGAGATAATTCCTAAAAGAACTCTAAAATCTCCAGGACATAACACCAGCATTGCTCAGATCACATTGTCTTGTGATTTCCAGCTTAATTAGTTGTGTGTTCTCTACTCAATGAAGACTGAGAAGTGTTTGACCACAGGGATGTTGCATCACACATATTTGTGCTGATAATTACTTTATATAGAAATATATTCAGATATTTTTTCATACCCTGTGAATGCTCTTTCGCTCAGGGCTTAGAATGCATGAAGGCAAAGAATTCCACAGCTTCAAGAGATGGATGGACACTTACTTAGAAAAAAGCAACATTCTTCTGCTTTGACTCTTGAATTATTATCATGGTTTTTGGTTTGAACCCTTTTTAAGATGGTTGGCTTGAAAGCCAGCATTTGTAGAGGGAAAAAATGTAGAATATCTTTGTGTATATTGAGACAAATGTTCAGGGAACTGATCCATACATTTCTTTAATCTTTGAAACTTTTAAGAACTTTAGAGAAATTAACCATTTAAATTTGAGATAGTTTTAGATTCACACACAGTTGTAAGAAATAACACAGGGATTTGGGAGGCCACAGCTGGTGGATTATTTGAAGTCAAGAGTTTGAGACAAACCTGGCCAAGGTGGTGAAACCACATCTCTACTAAAAACACAAAAAAATTACCTGATTGTGATGGCAGGTTCCTGCAATCCCAGCTACTTGGGAGGCTGAGGCAGGAGAATCACTTGAGCCTGGGAGATGGGGTTGTGGTGAGCTGAGATCATACCACTGCACTCCAGTCTGGGCAACAGAGTGAAACCCTGTCTCAAAAAAAAAAAAAAAAAAAAAAAAGGGAAGAAAAAGAAAATGAAATAACACAGGGAGATCCCTTGTACTCTTTACTTTTCCCCCAGGGGTAATGTCTTGCAAAACTGTTACCAAAAAGGAGTCTCAATCCAGACCCCCAAGAGAGGATTCTTGGATCTTGTGCAAGAAAGAATTCAAGACAAATCCATAAAATGACAGCAAGTTGATTAAGAAAGTGAAAGAATAAAAGAATGGGTATTCCATAGGCGGAGCAGCCCCGAGGGCTGCTGGTTGGCTACTTTTATGGTTATTTCCTTATTATATGGTAAGCAAGGGGTGGATTATTCATGAGTTTTCTGGGAAAGGGGTGGGCAATTCCCAGAACTGAGGGTTTCTCCCCTTTTTAGACCATACAGGGTAACTTCCAGACGTTGCCATGGCATCTGTAAACTCTCGTGGTGCTAGTGGAAGTGGCTTTTAGCAGCTAATGCATTATAATTAGTGTATAATGAGCAGTGAGGACAATCAGAAGTCACTCTTGTCACCATCTTGGTTTTAGTGTGTTTTGGCTGGCTTCTTTACCACAAACTGTTTTATCAGCAAGGTCTTTATGACCTGTATCTTGTGCCGACCTCCTATCTCATCCTGTGATTAAGAAAGCCTAACCTGGGAATGCAGCCCAGCATGTCTCAGCATCGTGTTACCCAGCCCCTATTCAAGATAAAGTCACTCTGGTTTGAAGGGCTCTGATAAAACTACAGTACAATCTCACACCAGGATATTGACCTCGGTACAGTCAAGGGACAGAACATTTCCATCACCACAAGATCTACCATGTTGTCCTTCCAATATAACCACATACACTGCCATGCTTGATGACAGGCTTTAGGACCCAATGAATGAGGCAAAAAATCCCACTTCTCAGAGCCAGCTGAGCTCAGATAAATGTTTGCAAGAGATTGCTCCAACACTTGTGCTTATAGGGGATGGCATTGACTTTGGGTTTGATATCTGTCTTAGTTTGGGCTGCTACAACAAAAGGCCTTAGCCTATAATATGGTTTGGCTGTGTCCCCACCCAACTCTCATCTTGAATTGGAGCTCCCACAATTCCCAGGTGTCATGGGAAGGAGTCGGTGGGGCAGGAGGTAATTGAATCATGTGGCTGGTTCTTTCCTGTGCTGTTCTCATGGTAGTGAATAAGTCTCACAACTTCTGATAGTTTTCTAAGGAGGAGTTTCCCTGTTCAATCTTACTTCTTGTCTGTGGCCAAGTAAGATATCCCTTGATCTTTCATCATGATTGTGAGGCCTCCTCAGCCATGTGGAGCTTTGAGTCAATTAAACCTCTTTCCTTCATAAATTACCTAGTTTTGGGTATGCCTTTATTAGCAGCATGAGAGCAGACTAATACAGCCTGAGTGGCTTACAAACAACAGGCATTTATTGCTCACAGCTCTGGAGGCTGGAAGTCCAAGGTCAAGGCATGGCAAATTTAGTGTCTGGTGAGGACTCACTCTCTGCTTCCAAGATTGTGCTTTCTTGCTGCATCTTTACACTGTGGAAGGGAGTCTCTTTTATAAGGGCACTAATCCCATTCATAAGGCTGGAGTCCTCATGATTTAACCCTTTCTCGTAGGCTTCACCTTTCTGTACTATCATATTGCAGATTTGTATTAGTCAGGATTCTCTAGAGGGACAGATAGATGTGGTTATGAAAGGAGTTTATTAAAAAGTGTTGACTTACATGATCACAAGGTGAAGTCCCACAAAAGGCCATCTGCAAGCGGAGGAGCAAAAGAGCCAGTTCGAGTCCCAAAACCCCCAAAAGTAGGTAGCCAATGGTGCAGCCTTGAGTCTGTTCCCAAAGGCCTGAAAGTGCCTGGCAAACCACTCGTGTAAGTCCAGGAGTCCAAAAGCTGAAGAACTTGGAGTCTGATGTTTGAGGGCAGGTAGCATCCAGTACCATAGAAAGATGGAGGCTGGAAGACTCAGCCAGTCTAGTCTTTCCTTGTTCCTCTGCCTGCTTTTATTCCGGCTGTGCTGGCAGCTGATTAAATTGTGCCCACCCAGATTGAGGGTGAGTCTGCTCTCCCAGTCCACTGACTCAAATATTAATCTCTTTTGGCGATGCCCTCACAGTCACACCCAGAACAATGGTTTGCATCCTTCAATCCAATCAAGTTGACACTCACTATTAACCATCACAGGATTCAATTGCAACATGTGCATTTGGAAGAGGACACAGACATTCAGACTGTAGCAATATCACTGCAGGAATGTTCAATCGCTTCCTTTTCCCTTTATCAGTCAGAGAACAAGGGGATCTGGAAGGCTACAGAGCTTGACATGCAAGGCAGCAAAACACCCCCAAGGTACAACACACTCATGAGCTCCATTACCTTATGGGCCACAAGCCCTGTGGACCTAGAGCTGGTGGTGGTAGGCAGGTTATCATGAAGAGCTTGTCTTCCCTCTTAGATTCCATAATCAAGGCTTGGCTTACACCTCTTGGGTTGTGCAAGATGCAGCAGTGGAAATTAGCTGGGACCAGGGGTGTTCAATGTCTTTGGAGTAAGAGCTCCAGTCTTGAAGGGGTGGAGGGTGTGGGGGCCTCATATGTTCACTTGAATGTGGATCTGTTTGGTGAGTGGGATCTGCAGCAGCAGCAAACACAGAATGTGCAGGAGAAGCATGGATATGATGTCACCAAAGGGGCTGGCACCAACCATGTGCTTACGGATTCATTCTAAAGCCACCTGCATGCTGGAGCCCTTTCTTTGGTGTGAATTGCTCATGTCTGGGGTATGTGCCTTAGGGCTGGCTCTGTCTTCAGGAATATCCCCACTCCACATTTAGCTTCTCTATGTATCCCTCAGGCTGCCACCATTCTCCATGTGACAGTTGTCACAGCCTGGGCCATGCCATTGCTTAGCTCATTTCTGGAGAAGTCAAATGAAAGCATTGGCCCTTCACTTTCATTCCTGAGGAGGACAGATGAATTTTAGTGCAGATTTTCTGATGCTCTAATAACTCAGAGATGTTCATGAATCAGCACAACATTCCTACTGGAGAGGTTGCTTTGTATTTGAAGGATCACTTCTCAATTCAGTGACATTTTTCTTCGGGTCCATCCTGCATATTTGCAACAGGTCCGGCCCAGAGGGGAAATGGAAAGAAGTCAGGATCCAGAACAGTAAGGTCTGCAGATGTCTGGGCAGTTTGCTGGAACACAACTGGGGTTATATCTGCAAATGCTAGGTAAGAGCTATCCCTCTGGCCAAGCTCAACCAAAGTGCCTGAGCTTGGTCTCTCATGGTTCAGCACAGGTGCACATCCAAGCACTGGTAGAATGGTGACGTTTTACCCCTTTTCCACCAATTCCTGGAATTGGGATAATTCTAAGAATTTTTTATTCAAACATTGGGGCTTATACTCACCAATCTTTGTTTATCCTTCCTCCTACCCACATGCCCTTTCTAGCCTCTGACATCTGTCATATTGCTCTCTATCTCCATGGGGTCATTTTTTTTCTTTTCTTTCTTTCTCTTTTTCTTTCTTTCTTCTATTTTTTTTTTTTTTTTTTTTTTGAGACAGGATCTTGCTCTGTCACCCAGGCTGGAGGGCAGTGGGATGATCACTGCTCACTGCAACCCTTCACTTCTCCAAGGCTTAGGTGATCCTCCCATGATGAGGTCAATTTTTAAAGCTACTACATAAGAGTAAAAACAAGAACCACCTGTCTTGCAGAGTGGGGTGACTATAGTTAGTAATAATGTATTGTGTATTTCAAAGTAGCTAGGAAAAGAGATGACATGTTACCAACATAGGGCTGGGCCCAGTGGCCCACACCTGTAATCCCAGCCTTTTGAGAAGCTGTTGGGGGAGGATCCCTTGAGCTTAGGAGTTCAAGACCAACTTGAGCAACATAGCAAGACCCTCATCTCTACACATTTTTTTTAATTAGCTGGGTGTGGTGGTGCACACCTGCAGTTCCAGCTACTTAGGAGGCTGAGGCAAGAGGATCACTTGAGCCCAGGAGGTAGAGGCTGCAGTGAGCTATGACTGCACCACTGCACTCCAGCCTGGGCAACAAAGTGAGACACTATCTGAAAGAAAAAAAAAAAGAAAAGAAATTAAAAATACTACACATGATGGATACCCCAAATAATCCAATTTAATCATTATACATCAATTAAAAAAATCAAAAAAATTTGAACTTGGCTTTTCAAACATGAAAAACATGTGAGCCTTGAACCCTTTTATTGACTTTGTTTCTTGTAACCTTGCAGAGCCCATCTACACACAGCAAAATATCTCACAATGAATTCCCATCCACAGCCTCAGCAATGGGCTGGTGTGTCCCCAGAGAATGTCAGCTGATTGGACAGCAGTCTGCAGGAGAAGGTGAATCCCCTAATTTGGAAGGAACTGAAGCATGAAAAGATGCTGAGATCACAATGAAAACAGACAAAGTCTTCTGGGGATGAAATGTTAAAAAGGGGAGATGTGCAAGGAACACAGGAAGAATAAGTTCAGGAGATCTGTTATACAACATGGGGATGATAGTTAATAACAATGCATGGTACATTTGGGGATTGCTAAAGGAACACCTTGTAAAGATTTCCACCCTTCCTCTTGAATGATAAGTATGAAATGTGACGGATATATTTCTTAGCTTGATGTAGCTGTTCCACCGTGTGTGCATATATCAAAACATCACGTTGTATCCCATAAATGTATATCGTTTAAATTTGTTAATTAAAATAATAAATAATAAAGAACAATGGGATTTTTGAAATAATCAAGTGTATTTGTAAATATATGGGTATATATGTATATGTACTTATGTATTTGTAAATTACATGTATGTATACTTACATGAATATATCAGTATAAACACACATGTACATACATATGGACAAATACATATATGTGTATAATGTGTGTACATACATATTTATAAATATGCATGCAAATATATTTATATAAGTATATAAACATGTAAGTATTAACATATGTACATGTTTATGTGCAAATATACATGTGTAAATATGTATCTATGTAAACATATGTATTTCAGAATATATTGATACATTATCTTAAGTATATATACACATATACTTACAAATACTCATGTCTAAATGTGCAAATATATATGTATTTGTAAATATATGTATATACACTTATATAGCATATAAACATACAAGTATATATACCTATATACTTAGAAATACACATGTGTAGATACGTACACATACCTATATACTTGTAAACATATGTATATATACTTAAATGATCATATAAACATATGACTATATATACACTTATGCACATATATATTTACAAATACATGCGTGTGTCTGTGTATACATATTTGTGTGTACACACACCCATATTTGTTGAAATAACCAAATAACCCAAAGGATTACTTGAATCAAAAAAGCAATTCAGAGTCCAGGAGATAATTCCAAGCTCCAAGAAGTTCTGACATGGCAAATATGAAAATGAGTTTCAAAGCCACAGAACAAAGGAGGTGGTGTCGCCAAAACTTTTACTCAATGCCCCTAAGGGCTGTTTGGAGAGGGCAGGGCTTAGCCATATTTAAACAAACAATGGTTGATTATTTTCTCAGATCCTTCACAGAATTTCTTTCTTCAAGTCAAAGAGTACAAGTAAAAGCCAATACACAACACTCGGGAAAAATATGGGAGCCCCCAAAACAAAGAAAAATCCTTTAAATAGCCAGACAAGTGGCCCCCAGACATCCTTCATGACCTGAACAAGACAAACCAGCAGGGTTGGGAGGGCCCTGGGAACAATGGGAAAAGGTCTTCAGAGCCCTCAGGGGGAATTCCTAACTGTGGACAGCTCTACACTGAGCTCAGCAATTCCGGAGTAAGCAGGCAATAAATGCACCGTTTTTGAGCCAGAACGTTTTCCACTTACTTCGACTCACTATTGGAACTACTCAAAGATGCTCTATAGGGAGAGAGGTACCAAAGCTGGAGGAAGGCAGAAGATGCAGGAAATACGGGGCATCCATGGAATCAACCTGATGTAGCTTGGCCCTGCGTCCCCACCCAAATCTCACCTCGAACTGTAAACCCCATGATCCCCATGTGTAGAGAGAGGGCCCTGGAGGGAGGTAATTGGATCATGACAGCGGTTTCCCCAGTGCTGTCCCCATAATAGTGAGGAAGTTCTTATGAGATCTGATGGTTTAAAAGTGGCAGTTTTCCAGTCAGGAGCAGTGGCTTACCCTTGTCATCCCAGCGCTTTGGGAGGTCAAGGCAGGCGGATCACTTGAGGTCAGGAGATCATGACCAGCCTGGGCAACATGACCAAACCCCGTTTCTACCCAAAATACAAAAATTTAGCTGGGCTGGGTGGTGAGCACCTGTAGTCTCAGCTACTAAGGGTGCTGAGGCAGGAGAATCGCTTGAACCCGGGAGGCAGAGGTTGCAGTGAGCCGCGATCACACCATTGCACTCCAGCCTGGGCACAAGAGTGAAACTCCGTCTCAAGAAAAAAAAAGTGGTAGTTTTCCCTGCACTGTCTCTTTCCTGTGGCCTTGTGAAGAAGGTACCCTGCTTCCCCTTTGCCTTCCGCCATGATTGTAAGTTTCCTGAGGTCTCCCCAGCCATGTAGAACTGTGAGTCAATTAAACCTCTTTCCTTTACAAATTACCCAGTCTCAGGGAAGTTCTTTATAGCAATTTGAAAACGGGGTAATACACAACCTAAACGCCCATCAATGATAGACTGAATTCAGAACGAGATCATGTCCTTTGTGGGATCATGGAGGCCATTATCCTTAGCAAACTAACGCAGAAACAGAAAACAAAATACTGCATGCTCTTACTTACAAGTGGAGCTAAGTGATGAGAACTCCTGGACACATAGAGGGGAACAACGGACACTAGGTCCTTTTGGTGGGTGAAGAGTGGGAGGAGGGAGAGGATCAGGAAAAACAACTAATGGCTACCAGGCTTAGTACCTGGGTGACAACAAATCCCTATGACACAAGTTTGCCTATATAGCAAACCTGCACTTGTACACCTGTACTTAAAATACAAGTTAAGTAATAAAAAAAATTACTGGTCATCGAAAAATAGAGGAACCAGAGTTAAATCAAAACTAGTGTCGGCCATATAAAACACCATCAACATCCAGCACCAATAATAAAAGGATACCTCCATTGAGGGTCCATTTTTTATTTTATTATTTTTATTTTTTGAGATGGAGTCTTGCTCTGTCACCCAGGCTGGAGTGCAGTGGCACAATTTCGGCTCACTGCAACCTCCACCTCCCGGGTTCAAGTGATTCTCTATTGAGGGTCTAAAAGGAAAGTGGACCTAAAATTAAAGGTCATAATAGCTTGTAGGAGAGAAATGCAATGGTCAGAGCTAAAACAAGTTATTTCTTTTTTTGGGAGGAGAGTATAAATATTTGCTTTATTTTATTTCCTGTGAATGTTGCTATGCATGTGAAATTTATTGCCAGTAAGTAAAATAATAAAAACTGAAAACAGCTTTCTCAAAAAGGAAAAAAACTTAAAAAAACCCTCAGGTATCAGAAAATAGAAATTATCAAAACAAAGAAAGTGAAAGGTTAATAGAATGTACAAAATTGAACACAAGAAATACATTGTAAAACTGTTATCAACTGTAATAAATAGAAATCATATGAAAATCTATCTTAGAAGACAAGAACTCTCAGATGAGATTGAAAAAAATCTAGGTCTTTGCTGTTTGCAAAAGTCTGAAATGCAGAACACAAAAAGGCCAAGATCAAAGGTATGGAGAAAAAATAACATAGATAAGTAAATTTAACATTTCTGTAGTTTGGTTAACAAGAAGCAGAAAAGAAAGGAAAAAGTCCAGGAGTTTGAGACCAGCTTGGATAACATAGTAAGACCTCATCTCTACAAATAGTTTAAAAAATTAACTGGGCATAATGGCACACATTGTAGTCCCAGCTACTTGTGAGGCTGAGACAGGAGGATCTCTTGATCCTGGGAGGTCAAGGCTGCAGTGAGCCATGATTGCACCACTGCATTCCAGCATGGGCAACAGAGGGAGACCCTGACTTTAAAAAAATTAAAAAATAAAAATAAAGAAGGTTGTGGTTACGTTATAAAAAATTTTGTCAAAAATAATTATAAAATCCTGAACTTTATAAAATTATAAAATAAGATTATAAAAAATGCTGAAATTTTTTTCAGCTAGTACCATAGTATCCAAGTTCATAAAACAACATTTGGGAGAATTAGAACACATTATCAAGTCCAGAGCCTCATCTTCTGCAGATCTCTGCCTATGGGGAGCTAGCTTTCAAAAAAATGAGAAAACTTGTATTTGTGTGTGTGTGTGTGTGTGTGTGTGTGTGTGTGTGTGTGCGTGCACATGCATTTGCAGCTAAACTTAAATTCCTTCCTGTATTTATCTTCCTAAATTAATGTAATATTCTTGAATACCTGCAGCTTGTCCATATCTCCTCAAATTCCTATTTTGAAACATTAACTCCAAAGGTACTAGGAGGTGAGGCATGGGGAAGTGATGAGGTCATGAGCATGGAGCCTCATGAGTGGGATCAGTGCCCTCATAAAATGCACCCCAGAGAGCTCCCTCACTCCTTCTACCATTTGAAGACACAGTGAGAAGGTGCCATCTATGAACCAGGAAGCCCTCACCAGACACTGAAACTGCCACACCTTGGTCTTGGACTTCCAGCCTCCAGAACTGTGAGCGATAAAAGTCTGTTGTTTATAAGCCCTGACTGTGGTATTCTCTTACAGCAGCCTGAAATGGACTAAGACAGCCTTCCTCTGTGCTTCAGAAGAGGAAAAAGTTAAGTCTAATTATTGTAAAGATTAATATTTCAGATGCAGTATAAACTGAATAAAGCTTGTGTTTATTTTTCTGATTGACTTTTTGGATAATCCTTGAAAATCTAAAGGACTTGCTATGCTATCCTGAGACATTGCTGAAGTTGCTTATCAGCTTATGGAAATTTTGGGCTGAGATGATGGGGTTTTCTAGATATACAATCATGTCGTCTGCAAACAGGGACAATTTGACTTCCTCTTTTCCTAATTGAATACCCTTTATTTCCTTCTCCTGCCTGATTGCCCCGGCCAGAACTTCCAACACTATGTTGAATAGGAGTGGTGAGAGAGGGCATCCCTGTCTTGTGCCAGTTTTCAAAGGGAATGCTTCCAGTTTTTGCCCATTCAGTATGATATTGGCTGTGGGTTTGTCATAGATAGCTCTTATTATTTTGAGATACGTCCCATCAATACCTAATTTATTGAGACTTTTTAGCATGAAGGTTTGTTGAATTTTGTCAAAGGCCTTTTCTGCATCTATTGAGATAATCATGTGGTTTTTGTCTTTGGTTGTGTTTATATGCTGGATTACATTTATTGATTTGCGTATATTGAACCAGCCTTGCATCCCAGGGATGAAGCCCACTTGATCATGGTGGATAAGCTTTTTGATATGCTGCTGGATTTGGTTTGCCCGTATTTTATTGAGGATTTTTGCATCAATGTTCATCAAGGATATTGGTCTAAAATTCTCTTTTTTGGTTGTGTCTCTGCCCGGCTTTGGTATCAGGATGATGCTGGCCTCATCAAATGAGTTACGGAGGATTCCCTCTTTTTCTATTGATTGGAATAGTTTCAGAAGGAATGGTAGCAGTTCCTCCTTGTACCTCTGGTAGAATTCGGCTGTGAGTCTATCTGGTCCTGGACTCTTTTTGGTGGTAAGCTATTGATTATTGCCACAATTTCAGCTCCTGTTATTGGTCTATTCAGAGATTCAACTTCTTCCTGGTTTAGTCTTGGGAGAGTGTACGTGTCGAGGAATTAACCCATTTCTTCTAGATTTTCTAGTTTATTTGTGTAGAGGTATTTGTAGTATTCTCTGATGGTAGTTTGTATTTCGGTGGGATCGGTGGTGATATCCCCTTTATCATTTTTTATTGCGTCTATTTGATTCTTCTCTCTTTTTTTCTTTATTAGTCTTGCTAGCGGTCTATCAGTTTTGTTGATCCTTTCAAAAAACCAGCTCCTGGATTCATTAATTTTTTGAAGGGTTTTTTTATGTCTCTATTTCCTTCAGTTCTGCCCTGATTTTAGTTATTTCTTGCCTTCTGCTAGCTTTTGAACGTGTTTGCTCTTGCTTTTCTAGTTCTTTTAATTGTGATGTTAGTGTGTCAATTTTGGATCTTTCCTGCTTTCTCTTGTGGGCATTTAGTGCTATAAATTTCCCTCTACACACTGCTTTGAATGTGTCCCAGAGATTCTGGTATGTTGTGTCTTTGTTCTCATTGGTTTCAAAGAACATCTTTATTTCTGCCTTCATTTCGTTATGTACCCAGTAGTCATTCAGGAGCAGGTTGTTCAGTTTCCATGTAGTTGAGTGGTTTTGAGTGAGTTTCTAAAATCACGAGCATTCTTATACACCAACAACAGACAAACAGAGAGCCAAATCATGAGTGAACTCCCATTCACAATTGCTTCAAAGATAATAAAATACCTAGGAATCCACCTTACAAGGGACGTGAAGGACCTCTTCAAGAACTACAAACCACTGCTCAATGAAATAAAACAAGATACAAACAAATGCAAGAACATTCCATGCTCATGGGTAGGAAGAATCAATATCATGAAAATGGCCATACTGCCCAAGGTAATTTATAGATTCAATGCCATCCCCATCAAGCTACCAATGCCTTTCTTCACAGAATTGGAAAAAACTACTTTAAAGTTCATATGGAACCAAAAAAGAGCCCACATCACCAAGTCAATCCTAAGCCAAAAGAACAAAGCTGGAGGCATCACACTACCTGACTTCAAACTATACTACAAGGCTACAGGAACCAAAACAGCATGGTACTGCTACAGGAAACAACAGGTGCTGGAGAGGATGTGGAGAAATAGGAACACTTTTACACTGTTGGTGGGACTGTAAACTAGCTCAACCATTGTGGAAGTCAGTGTGGCGATTCCTCAGGGATCTAGAACTAGAAATACCATTTGACCCTGCCATCCCATTATTGGGTATATACCCAAAGGACTATAAATCATGCTGCTATAAAGACACATGCACACGTATGTTTATTGTGGCACTATTCACAATAGCAAAGAGTTGGAACCAACCCAAATGTCCAACAATGATAGACTGGATTAAGAAAATGTGGCACACATACACCATGGAATACTATGCAGCCATAAAAAATGATGAGTTCATGTCCTTTGTAGGGACATAGAAGAAATTGGAAATCATCATTCTCAGTAAACTATGGCAAGAACAAAAAACCAAACACCGCATATTCTCACTCATAGGTGGGAATTGAACAATGAACACATGGACACAGGAAGGGGAACATCACACTCTGGGGACTGTTGTGGGGTGGGAGGATGGGGGGGGATAGCATTGGGAGATATACCTGATGCTAGATGACGAGTTAGTGGGTGCAGCGCACCAGCATGTCACATGTATACATATGTAACTAACCTGCACATTGTGCACATGTACCCTAAAACTTAAAGTATAATTAAAAAGAAAAAAAAAGGACTTGCTATGCTAAGTAAAGCCTGTGGTTGGGGTAATGGGAAACTGATACTACTCCAAGTTTCATCTTAGTGCTATGAAATATTGATACCGTAGGCACTCTACAAAACGTGGGCTCAATTAAGAAAGATTTTTGCAAGTGTCTAAACAAAGTAGGAGACAGAGGATTTCTATCATCAATGCATTTTTAGAGAACTGTGTGACATAGTTTCAGGGATGACCACCAGGACATTGGAAAAAGGGTTGCGTCAATTAAAATGTTTCACCCACTGGCCGCTTTGAAAATGAAAGCTACCAGAGGAAAAGAAAAATACAGACCCAAATCAAAACCAGATGTATGCAGCTTTGAGGATTTCTCAGCCCTTCGTTTTCTCTCCATTTTATTTCACATGTCTTGTAAAATGGATGTGACTTCTGGAAAGGACTTTGCGTAGCAAGGTCCCTCCTTCTTTTGGGAAAACCCAGTTAAATAGGCAAATAAACAAACTGCCTAATGATGACTCAGTAGGGGCAGATTGAACTATACTGTTTGTTCAAGGAAATGTCTGGAAGAAATTAGACAAATTGATTTGTTTCTAAGTAATACCCATTCAGGCAGTAGCTTAAGAGAAATTTATGCATCCCCCCTAACCCCTGCACAAATTCTTCTCTGTCTTAGACAGTCCCACCCAGTGTAAATCTTTAACCCAGTCAGCAAGCCCTAGAATTTTATACATTTGACACTTTTGTGAGCTATTTAGCTCACCCTGTCTTTCCATTGTTCTAGAAGATGGCTTGCTGGATATATAGCAATATATCCACTCTATAAAAATCATTAATCGAATTAGACATCAGCAGGGGACATCTTATGCTCGTTTGATTTCTTTTTATGCTTCTGGGCATACATACTTATGTAACATTTGTTTTGAAAATCAAATTAAATGAAAGGATACTGTAGTTTCTACAGGCAAGAAAGTACTTTAGACAAACCCTGAGCAGCACACATTCAGATTCAACTCTGGGGTTTGACACTTACCTTTGTAATTTCAGCTTTCTCACCTGTAAAACCAACAACAAGAAAGAGAATGCATTGGCTTGCTATGAGGATTCCATGAAAAAAATATAAAGAAATAAAGCACCCAGCCCTCTGAAGAAATGTTTGCTCTTTCAGTTTGTGCAAAAACAAACAAACAAACAAACAATCATGCAAAAGAAGCTTCCTTTTAAAATAGTCCTCATATTATGATCTACCTGATATGCTCCAATTTTCTTAGCTCTGAGGAAAGGTGACATAATTTATAAGATGCTTTCTTTAAAAGCAAAGTAATCCAATGATACACTCATACAGTGTCATCATTTTAGCTTTGCTTTTAATAAAAGGCAAACAGAATTTTGCCTTGTTTTAATGACATTGCTTTGATGTTATTATCTTTGTTAGTCAAAGTCCATTGCCCAGGGTGACCCCATTTTCATAACAATAAAAACATTTTAATGGTACTATAAAGCCAGAAACCAAAGTGAATACATTATAGAGTTGATGTTACCTAGTCTCTTGAGGGAAATCCAGTTTAGCCACAACCCTTGTAAATAAGAAACATATCTTGTTTGGGGATGCTAGAAAATTATGACCACCATATTTATTTTACCTCATGTGAACTTCCAACATGTCCTTCAGTTTAGAAAGAACTTAAAAAAATACACACATTGAAAGAAAACAATGATGAAATACAAACATAGTAAACTTGTGGTCAGAAGTTTTTCTCAGAATCTTCATTAGAATTCACCAAAAGAAATTCTGTTCACCTAATTTAGAAAGGGATTGGTTAATATTCCCAAATTATAGATTAGTTGGTGGTTTGTAAGAATGCTTCAGATATTAGATGATTTACTGTTATATTCATGAATCTGTTGATGAAATAGTGACACTCCATTTGCAGAAATTGAGTTTAATTTTACAGGGTGCCATAACAAAATCTGAAAAACCTTGGCATTTCTCAAAGCAAAGCATAAAAAGGAATAACTGTCTGATTGATTCCATTGCATCTTTCCTGAGGAGTAAAACTGTTTTGCAAGAAATTCTTCTTTAAACGTATCTAAGATGATTTTGTTTTCCCCTTTTTTCTATCATATTTTAGAAATTGTGCTGCATAATTTCACTATTTCAGTTACAGGAACTTAGCTTGATCTGTGTGTTGCTGTTGCTGAGAAGCTACAGAGATGCTGAACTTCCCCATACCCTGCAGCCAAGGTGTTGCAACAGCCCAGAGGAATTTGTTCTAATCCTACTTGCTGTTGGAGTCACTGAACTTTTCTTTCCCTGGCACCTAGCAATTGCTCTATAGAGGCAATTTCCATTACCACACCGTCAAATGCACCAACATCCACTGAAACATAAAGTACATTCCATGGTGGCATATTAATACATATTGACCTTGGCAGTCCATCTGATTCCATCATCAAATCCAACACGGAGGAAAAGGAAGAACCAGTTTTCTGACTGCAAACCCCAGCAACAAAGTAGCAGGAAGTTAGAGAAAAAGGAACTATTCCTTTGCTAAGTTCCCATTTTAATTTGGTGTTCCAGGAACTCTGAGCTTTCTATTTATTGCCTGCATATCCATGAAATAAGGCACATGTTGAGTAGAAGATGAAATGTGTGATAGCCTTGAGCCATTTATGCTTAGCGTTCCAATAATGGAACATGTGGGATTATTTACATCCTACTGCTCATGTCGTCGCCAAGGTCTGATTGCAAAAATTCAAAATATTTCAACCTCAAGCTTAAAGGGGTTAAGGTTTGGGGTTTTTCTTTGGAAGTGGCCAGCTCATCTCTGCTGTTACATGTTTTATTGAGTTTATTTGCATGTGTGAGAACCTACCAAGGCTCTAAATGCAAACACGATCTCCCATCACACTAGAGGAACAAGATGGATATTTGCAAATGGTAAATAATTATTTCTTGATTATTATTGTGTGGTGAGCAGAGAACACAGTTAAGTCTTGATTTTCACCAGAGCTTTGCCCTGATATATTCTTTCTCCCTCAGCACAAAACCCTGACTTTGCAACCCTAGGACTCTTCAGAGTCTTTTCTTTCAGGTTTTAAATTTATTTTCTAAATTAATTCTTTAAAATTGATATATCATAGTTGTACATATTTCACAGGTAAATGGGATATTTTGATACAGGAATATGATGTGTAATGATCAAATCAGAATGATTGGGATGCCAAGAACCTCACACAACTATCTTTTCTTTCTGTTGGGAGTATTTGAATTCTTCTTTTCCAGCTATTTTGAAATATTCAATAAATTATTGTTAACTCTACTTTCTCCAGTGTACTGTTGGACACTAGAACTTATTCCTTCTATCTAGCAGAATTTTCTTATGTTACTATGCCTGCATCCCACCTACATTATGAGATACGTAAAATATTCTTTTCGAGGGACTGGATTGGTCTTGGGTGAGTTTACAAAGCCTGTTCTAAAATCCAGTCATCCAAGTTACTGGTCAACATATTTAATGATCCAGGAGTGAGGTCGTTTAAGTTATCCTGAGGTGTTTATACAGACAGAACCCACAAACAGGGCTTCATTACAAACTCAATAAGGGATCTAAACTGTCTAGATAGAACCAGGCATTCATTTGCTCATACGTTTGCCTATAACATACTTAGAAATACCCTGCTTTAATGTACATTTAAACATAGAGACAAGAAATAGATTAGTGCTTTGCAGGTGTTGCAGAGAGAGGAGGATGGGGAGTGACTGTTTAACAGGTACAGCATTGGGGTGATCAAAATGTTCTGAAACCAGATAATGGTGATGGGTGCATCATGTTGTACAGGCATCAAGTGCTGGTGAATTGTACAATTTAAAATGGCTATGATAGTATTATGGGTTGAATTGGAACTCCCACCAAATTTATATAGTAAACTCTCAATCTCCTGTGCCTAAGGATATGACCTTATTTGGAAATACAGCTATTATAGATATAACTAAGTTATACTGGAGCATGGTGAGCACCTAATTTAATCTGACTGATGTCCTTAGAAAAGAGGGAAACTTGGACACAGAGAAACATGTACCCAGGGAGAACACCATGTGAAGGTGAAGGCAGACACTAGGGTGGGTGATGATCTATAAACCAACAGATAGATACCAAGGATTTCCAGCAGGCTCTGGAAGCTGAGAGAGAGGCATGGAACAGATTCCCCTTTACAGCCTCCAGAAGGATTCTCCCCCAGAGCCTCTGAAGTGAGCATAATCCTGCTACAACCTTGATTTCAGACATCTGGCCTCTAGAACTGCAAGATAATCGATTTGTATTGTTTAAAGCCACTCAATTCGTGGCTCTGTGTTATGACATCCTTAGGAAACTAATACAGCCAGTAAAACTAATAACATTTCTTCACTGATGGATGTGAAAGGGAAGAGTGAATATTGATTCCATGTATTTGCCCAGAGAATGGGGAAGGGTAGAAGGGAGACATTTTCAAAAGTAGGCCAGGGGTTTAGTTCTTGACATGCTGAATTGGAGATGTCCATGCACAAGGATGTAAATGATGTGTCCACTAAGCCCCCAAGTGGAGGTGTTGAAGTGGGTGGTTGAATATAGGCAAATCTGGAGATTGGCAGAGGAATCAAAGTTAATGATATGAATTTGTGGGTTGTTGGCCGATGAAGATATTTAAAGACATGAGATTACATAGTTCCCCTAAGGAGTAGCAAAGATATAAAAGAACAGGCTGAGCCTAGGACTCCTCAAGAGTAGGATGACATTGAGGAGATTTGGGAGAGGAGACTGAAGGTGTGTAAATTGTATTAGTAGAAAAGCAAGAAGAGTCAGTGTCCTGAAATGAAATGAACACAAAACCAAAAAAGAGAGAGGGACCCATTGTGTGGGGTAACGTATTATCTCCATTTGCCTGGGACTAATGGGGTTCCCAAAACACAAGACTAAAGCCGGGACAGTTACGGGTATACCAGGATGGGTGGTCCTCCAACCAGTGTGTCCACGGTCACTTAGAGGTTGCTCAAGTAAGATGCAGTATAAGAACAGATCACTGACTTTCTCCAAAATAGAGTTACTGGGTGTACTTGACTTCAGTAATTGATCTCATGCAACAGAGATATCACACAGACAGGACTTCAATCTCCCCAGTTTCTAGGAGAGAGAGAGAGAGTGAGAGAGAGAGAGAGAGAGAGAGATAACTAAACTCAGTTTTACAACCAGCTAACAAGTCTGCTCTGAAGATAACTAACTCCCTTCTGCCATAAAGACAATCCATCTATGAAGGCAGAGCCCTCAAGATCTAATTATCTCCTATTGTGCCCAACTTTCCAACACCTGCACTTTGGATGAAGTTTCCAACACACGAATTTATGGGGATGGATTCGAACAATAGAACAGGTTTTTATAATTTATAAACCACTTTCACATGCAAAACTATATATCCTTCACTTGAAAGCTGAGGAGATGTAAAAAAATTAGAGAAGTAAATAAACTATCACTTTTGCAGAGGTTTTTTTGCATCCTTAAAAGTAGAGAAATTGAATTCTTCATGGTGTCTTTTCTTTTTTTTTTATTTTTCTTTCTTTTTCTTGTTTTTGAGACAGAGTCTTGCTCTGTTGCCCAGGCTGGAGTGGTGCGATCTCAGCTCACTGCAAGCTCCACCTCCCGGGTTCATGCCATTCTCCTGCCTCAGCCTCCTGAGTAGCTGGGACTACAGGTGCCTGCCACCATGCCCGAAATTTTTTTTTTTTTTGTATTTTTAGCAGAGGCGGGGTTTCACCATGTTAGCCAGGATGGTCTCGATCTTCTGACCTCGTGATCCACCCGCCTCGGCCTCCCAAAGTGTTGGGATTACAGGCGTGAGCCGCCGTGACTGGCCATGGTGTCTTTTCTTAAATGAACTGTGGATTAAGAATGTTAGTAATGGACACATTTGCACCTGACTGATAACATGAGACTCTTCGTCCTAAGTACATTGTGCATATATATTTATTCAGAAGATGTTGTCTATTGGCTACTATCTCAGAGGGAAAAGAACTTGGTGTCAGAGATGCAGATGACAAATGAGCTGAACTAGATGTCAATATGGATGTCTTCAGTTCACATTCCTAAAAGTGACAACATCTCCCTATCCCGGGCTTGCTTTTACTGACAGAATTGGAGCACCAGGGTTTCTGTTGTGCGTGTCCAAAAAAAAGTCCACAATTCTTCTGAAAGCAAACAGTAAACATATTTACTGCAAGTGTAAATATAACATTCTTCTGAAAGCAAACAGTACACAGATCTGGCAAGTACAAATACTATGACAGATGCTTATGTCCTGAAATAAATAATAGATATAGTAGATTGTGTTGTAGGTTCCCTTGATTAAGCCTGACACTCTGCCATTCACATATCAGTCCCAGGAAATTCTTTCATAACACAATTCATCATAGTAACATCAGACTCCTTCAACTACAACCTCATTGAACACAATGAACTGGAAATACATTATATTTAAAGAAAAGGCAAGAGTACATTTGGATTTATATCCAAGAGTTCCATACCCATGGATTTAACCAACTGCCAATTGAAAATATTTGAAAAAATATCACATCCATATCGAACATGTACAAGTTTTTTTGTGTCATTATTCTCAAAAAATACAGTATAATAACTATTTGTGTAGCATTTTCACTGTTTTCAGTATTTTAAGTAATTTAGAGATAATTCAAAGTATAAGGGAGGATGTGCATGGGTTATATACAAATACTACATCATTTTATTTAAGGAACTTGAGCATCTGTGGATTCTGGTATCTACACAAGGTCCTGGAACCAGTCCTTCATGGATACCTAGAGACAACTGTATGTATCCTGCCACCAACAAAATAAAGCACTATAATTCTTTCATGCTCAAGAATAAGAATGCCATAATTTTACTTATAATCAATAGACAACAAAAGAGCAAGTTTACATGAGGCCTTTTCCACCCTTAGCTATTTTCCTTTTCCAATCAATCTTTAACATTTTGAAGGCAAGATTGTATGATTTTCAAGGAATGCACACATTAAAAAATTTGAACCACTTGAGAAGTCATTAATAAAGATTTTTATTTTACAATGGTAAGAGAGAATCAATGGAACAATTTTAAACTTCTCTTTTTTAGCGAGTTTTATATTTTCTAAAGCACTTTTATTATATTTTATTTCTGTAAACGTGGTGGCAATCTTCTTGTAAAGTTGAGGATATGGAATCACAGAGAAATTCATAAACTTGCTGAAGATCATTTACACTGCCAGTCTGCAAACCCCACTTCTAATATCCAAATGTGTTGAGGGAAGGGACAGTGCCTACTTTAGTCCCAGGCTCCCATAGAATGTTGGCTTATGAAGCATAATAGTTAGCTATTGCTGTATAACAAATCATCACCTACTTAGAAGCTTATAAAACGGAAGTCTTTTAACTCACAGTGTCTGTGAGTTAGTAAAATGTGTACAATTCAAATGGGTGCAATTCAAATAGGGTATTTCCTGGGGCTGGGGTTTCATCTGAAGGCTGAAATGTGGCAAAATCTACTTTCAAGGTAATTCATGTGGTTGTTGGCAAGATTCAGATTCTCATAGGTTTTTGGACCAAGAATCTCCATTCCTAGAGGCTGTCTTTAATTCCTCATCACGTTGATTTCTTCACAGGGCAGCTCACAACATGGCAGCTTGTTTACCATACCCAGCAAGGGAAAGGGTCAACACAGAGAGGCTGCTAGGAAGATGAAACTCACAAGCTCCTGCAGTGTAATCACAGAGAGAACACCCCATTGCTTTTGTCATATCGAATTGATTAGAAGCAAGTCATGGATCCCACGGACACTCAAGGAGAGGCGATTATATAATAGTATAAATATCAGGATATGAGCATTATTGGGAGCCATCTATGAGTTGTCTGCCCACCCAGAGGACCCATAACGAATGTTTTCTGAAAAAAACAAAAACAAAAACAAGAAACAAAAATTATTGCTAATTGAAAAACCTGACTTCCTGAATTGGAGGTTAGAGTTCTTCCAATACCAGCTTCTGTGCTGACAGCAAGTTATCAGAGGAGAAATGGGCCCTGGAGGACAGCTTGAAGAAATGTGGTTAGAGGACAAAAGGATACAATGCAAGGTGGGTGCACACAGCACTCAACCTTGACTATCGCCCTGTCATTCTTAAGACCATGCTGGCTTGCCTTCTAACCCAATGTGGCCCACTATTTTACAACCCCTAATGTAAAATTAGCCATGATGTTCTTCAATTCAACAGTTGGCTTTAAAAATATCTGGGATTATTGTTTTCTACATTATAAGAAAACAGAATTTGTGAGACTTTTTTTCCCAGCCTTTGTTATACTGTAAACAGCAAATGTAAAAGGATTAAGTAGGACAAACACACTTCTTGAGCCCCAAGCTAAGGACAATGTGGCTTCCAAGGCAGAAACAGACTTGAAATGTCAGGTCTGCTTTAGATGTTATTTATTCAGCTGGAGAATAAATATTACTTCAGTGAACTTCAAAAACAATGGGGATTAAAACCTTCCATACCCTTGAAATAAATTGACCTCTATTTTTCAAACCAGATGGAAACAGAACTCAAGAGCAAACTCTGAAAGGTAAATCATGGATTAATGATTTTAACATACATCTGAGAAATGTTACTCCCAACTAACTTGCATTTTTAGAAACTTTTAAATGTATATATTCCTACTGTAATTTTAAAAATATTGACTGAAAAATATTTGCTTTAGACTAAGGTTTCTCCAGAAGTGAAACAAGACATTTGTGAGCAGATGATTCTGTGGTGGGGGCTGCCCTGTGCATTGTAGGGTGTTGACCAACATCCCTGGGATCTACCCAACAGATGCCAGGAGCACCCCTTCACTCACTGAGACAAGTGAAAATGTCCCCAGATATTACCCAGTGTTCCCTGGGGAGAAAATTCCCCCCATTTGAAATCCACCATCAAAGATAGATAAATGGTAGAGATAGACAGATAGATATAGATAGATGATAGATAGATATAGATAATTGATAAATAAATAGATACAGATGCCAGACAGATGATTGACAGATGGATGATAGATAGATAAATAATAATGATGATAGTGTTTAGATATTAGATGGATAGGTATATAGATGATAAATAAAAATAGATACATGGAAATATAGATTATAGATTGATAGATATAAATAATAGATGGATAGATGATAGATGGATAGACAGGTAGATACACAGATGATGGATAGATGGATAGGTAGATAGAGGTGATGTATGAATAGATGATACATAGATAAAGATAGGTAGATAATAGATATAGATGATTGATATGATAGATGACAGATAAATAGATAAATGATATAATAGATGATAGATAAATATGATAGATGTAGATTATAGATAGATGACAGATAAGTGATAGATATGACAGATAATATATATGTAGGTAATAGATATGATAGATGATAGATATGATAGCTGATAGGTATGATCAATATGCTAGATGGTAGTTAGATAGACATGATAGATGATAGATAAATAGATGTATGTGATAGCTGACAGATATGATAAATATTACATGAGATAAAAGACAGAAAAATGATAGATAGATAGATAGATAGATAGATAGATAGATAGATAGATAGATAGGGAATCTCATGCTCAGGCAGTGTTTCACAGCCTCAGCCCTATTGAAATTTGGGGCTGCATGATTCTCTGTGGTGGGGCCGTTTTGTGCAGTGTAGGATGTTGAACAGCATCCTGGGCCTCCCACTAGATGCCAGTAGGACCACCCAGTTGTGACAGCCAAAAACTTTCCAGACATCCCCCAATGTCCTCTAGAGGCATCTTAGAGAATAGATAGAAGACTATTCAGAAGAACATCCCCATTATTTTTTAGATAATAAGATCCAGGTCACTCTGCCTAACATCATTCTTTCTGGTTAGAACATTACAACCACCTCATCACCAGTCCCTGGTGTTGACATTTGCTAAAAATGTGGGACTTGGTTTCACTAGGAGGACTTGGTTTCATTAGGAGGAATTCAATATTGCCACATCATTCCAGAAGTCTTACTGTTGCTATTTACATTCAGTTCCCCTACTGTGTGCCCGAACAGGAAAGATCTTTCTCTTGAATGTGTTGGTTGGAATTTCTCTGGGTGCTGTCCTCTTGCTCCTTTTGCTGAAGAAGCTGAGAATGGGTCACTGGCATCTTTTCCTATCTGGTTCTCACACTAGCCTGCAACTGAGGTGGCTGAAGCTCCATCCTCTTGGTCTCACGCTGTTTCTACCATCTTTGAAGTCTGCAGGTGCCTTCGGAGCCACACCACCTTCAGTTGGCCTCCTCATTGCTGATGGTTGGTGGTCTGCAACTTAGCTGATGTTGGTCAGTCTCCAAGACTGTTCCAGAATCTTTAGCCACCTTCTCAGCTCAGTTCTCACTGTGCTATCTTAATCCTACTGCTATAGTCTCAATGTATCCCCCAAAACTGATATGTTTAAATGTAGTGAACAATGTGATAATATGAAGTAGTGGAGCCTTTAGGAGGTGATTAAGTCATGAGGGTGGAGCCCTCCCACACATGGGATTTAGTGGCTTATTCAAGGGCTTGAAGGACCATGCTAACTCTTTGCTCTTCTACCTTATGTCATGTGAGAACACAGCATGAAGGTACAAGCCCTCATCAGACACCAACTCCACCAGGCCTTGGTGTTGGGCTTTCAGCCTCCAGAATGGTGAGAAAATAAATGTCTGCTCTTTATAAATTACTCAGTCTCAGGTATCTTGTTATAATTGGACAAGCAGACTGAGGTACCTACTGCTGTTCTTGTTGGTAGCAAACGACTTCTGAACCTTTCCTCATCTTTGCCAAAAGTCATGGTGAACTTGGCTCCCCCAATACCACTTCCCCATGCTGTGTTAGAGGATGTTTGTAGGATGTGTCTTGGGATACTAATTTTAGCTAGTCTTGCTGTGCTCTTAGATTAAGATGCATGGGGTTGCATAAAGAATCTATTTGTTTCTTTAGGATGGCTATCATCAAAAAGTCAAAAATAATAAACATTGGTAAGGATGTGGAGAAAAGGAAACCCTTGTACACTATTGGTGAGAATATAGACTGGTACAGCCACTATGGAAAACAGTATGAAGATTTCAAAAGAATTAAAAATAGAACTACTATATGACCCAGCAATCTCTCTTCTAGGTATATATCCAAAAGAAATGAAACTGCCACCTTGTGAAGGTATCTCTACTGCCAATTTTATTGCAGTAGTATTCACAAAAGCTGAGATATGGAAACATCCTGTTTGCTGACAGATGGATGGATACACACATGTAGTAGATATATACAATGAAATATTACTCAGTCTTAAAAAACAAGATCTCAACATTTGCTCAACATAGATAAAACTGGGGGACATTGTGTTAAGTGAAATAAGCCAGAGACAGAAAGCAAAATACTGCATGATCTCAGTTATACGTGGAATCTAAAAATAAAAAATTCAAATGTAGATAGATACACTTGTTCTCTATCAAAACAGTGGTTACCAGGGAGGGTGTTGAGGGAAGGAAGAAATAGGGAGATGAGGTTAGAGCAGCAGTCTCCAACCTTTTTGGCAGCAGGGACGGGTATCATGCGAGACAAATTTACCATGGATTGGGAGCAGGGTCAAGGGCGGGGAGGATGGTTTCATGATGATTCAAGCTGATTACATTTATTGTGCAGTTTATTTCAATTATGATTACATAGTAATACATAATGAAATAATTCTACAACTCACCATCATGTAGAATCAGTGGAGCCCTGAGCTTGTTTTCCTGCAACTAGATGGTCCCATCTGGGGGTTATGGGAGACAGTGACAGATCATCGGGCATCAAATTCTCACAAAGAGTGCACAACCTAGATCCCTTCCATGTGCAGTTCATGATAGGGTTCACACAGAATCTAATGCTGCCACTGATCTGAAAGAAGGCAGAGCTCAGACAGTAATGTGAGCCATGGAGGACATCTGTAAAAAAGATGAAGCTTCTCTGGCTTGCCCGTTGCTCACCTCCTGCTGTGCAGGCTGGTTCCTACCAGGCCAAGGACTGGTTCTGGTCCCTGGCCTAGGGGTTGGTGACCTCTGGGTTAGAAGATACAAAATAGCAGGCATATAGAATGACCAAGTCTAGTGGGCTGATGTTCCATGTGAAAACTACAGGGAGTAACATTGTAGTGCATTTGGGATTCTTGCTAAAGCAGTAGATTTTAGCTGTTCTTGCCAAAAAACAAGAACAAAAAATGGGTAACTATGTGACTTGATGGATAGGCTAATTTATTTCATTATAGTAACCTTTTTATTATCCAAATGTATCTCATAACATCAGGCTGTATAACTTAAATATACAGAATAAGTTTATTGTTTTTTTAAAAAGAGTATATAAGAAAGGGAAGAATATATTCTGTTGTTCAAGCCTTTTGCACTAAGCAGGTCCTTTGGAATAAAATTACAAAATGAATTGTCATTGCAATTATGTTCAATTTGTAAAACCCACCAGAGAGAGAGTCATTGCAAGGACTGAGATTCTTGAGGTTACAGGGTCTGTTTCTTATTTACTTTTGCTTTCCCAGCACCTAGGATAGTACCTGACACAAAGCAGGCACTCAGTAAATGTGTGCGTAAAAACAACAGTAAACAAGGAATATTTTTTTTGTAACTCCAAAGGAATTAGAAGCTCAGCTGTGCCTCTGTAGGGAAAGCCCCAGAGATTTAGCTATGAAAACAAAGACAACATCAACAGAGATTCATCCTTTCCAAGTTTTCCTGGAGCCTTATAATCAGCCTATTACCTGACTGCTTGAGGAATTATTGGCCCTATCACTTGATGAGATGCCCAGGGAAAAATGACCAGGACAGCAGGGTTGAAATGCTCTAATTACTAAGAGAATGAACATCATGATAAGACATAAACCAGAATGCTACACACATGGACTTAATGAACTACAGAGTCCTCATTCAAGACAGAAGTCTTCACGTTTTCATAAACACAAAGGTGAGATGACATTTCTTGCCCAAATTTACCAAATAGCTCTCTCATGTTCCTTCCTTTATTGGACATGGAGGCTTTGTAGAAAATAATGAAAATTTTATTCCTCAAGTGACCCCAGAATTATACAATGCCTACAAATGCAACCCCAAATAGCACATTTTTGTTTTTTGATGTTCTTTTATTAAGAGTGTCACATGGTCTATGTACAAAGTGGTATGGTCTATGAACAAAGCTGTTAGCAAGGATATAAAAAAAGTACATGTGGTTTTGTAATTTTTACATTGACATATCCCTAAACTACAGCAATCTTGTAATTTGTCACCCACATTGTGGGTGATTAAAGGGGGGTGTGGTGTTTATTAATTTTATGAGCATTGATGTAAATTAGAACTGTCTGAGGAAAGCCAGGACGAAGCCACCCTACCAAGAGTAGGTAAGAAAATGAAATAAATTGTGGTCTATCTGTATCCTGGGATTCTATTCAGCCTTGAAAAGGAATGAAGTCTTGACACATGGTATAACATGCAAGAACCACAAAACACTACAAGAAGTGAGAGAAGCTGGCCACAAAAGACCCCATAGTACATGACTGTATTTACATGAAATATCAAGAATCACTTAATCTCAAAACCCAGAAGGCAGAGTGGTAGTTGTACGTAGGGCTTGGGAGCAAAAGGAAAGCAGAATGCCTGCTTAGTGGGTATGGGGTGTCCTTTTGGTGTGATGAGAAAATTCTGAAACTGGATCATGGCAGTGGTTTTACAATATTGCAAGTGTAATATACACCACTAAGTTGTGCACTTTATTATTATTTTTTTCTGAAACAGAGTCTCACTCTATTGCCCAGGTCACACTGTAGTGGCACAATCTCAGCTCACTGAAACCTCCGTCTCCTGTGTTCAAGTGATCCTCTTGCCTCAGCCCTCTGAGTAGCTGGGATTACAGGTGTGTGCCCCCATGCCTGGCTAATTTTTATATTTTCAGTAGAGATGCGATTTCACCATGTTGGCCAGGCTGGTCTGGAACTCCTGGCCTCAAGTGATCTGCCTGCCTTGGCCTCCCGAAGTGCTGGGATTATAGGCATGAGGCACCACACACCTGGACAATTGTGTATTTTAAAAAAGTTCATTTTGTATCATGTTAATTTAATACAAATAAAAAGGAAATGACATGGCCGGGTGCAGTGGCTCACACCTGTAATCCCAGCATTTTGGGAGGCCGAGGTGGGCAGATCTTGAGGTCAGGAGATGGAGACCATCCTGGCCAACACCATGAAACCCCGTCTCTAATAAAAATACAAAAAATTAGCCATGTGTGGTGGTGGGTGCCTATAGTCCCAGCTACCTGGAGGCTGAGGCAGGAGAATGGCATGAACGCCAGAGGCAGAGCTTGCAGTGAGCCAAGATCGCACCACGGCACTCCAGCCTGGGTGATAGAGCTAGACTCTGTCTCAATAAAAAAAAAAAAAAAAAAATGGAAATGACACTATGGTGAGCATGTCTTCTGCCACGATGAATTCCTAAACACAAAATCACATTTGTGTGTCCCAGTCATATTTATTATACTGAGTTGTCATGAAGAGTTTTGTCTGATATTGATTTCCATAACTTATCACCAGGGTTCTATTGCTCAGCTTCCATCTCCAGAAACATCCCCAGTCAACAATGTCCCATGTCAGAGCAACCTTATCCACCTGTAAATGCTGCAGCCAGCCCAGAAGAATGCCAGTTACTTCTTTTCTGCTATATTGACGTCAGTTTTTTAGAGATTCAGCGGACCTGGAGCGTGGCCTTCATGCAGGGTAGGTGACCCCCAGATTGGGGCTTAGCTCAGGAAAAGTTTTTGGCTTCACATAGGGAAGAATTCAACAGTGAGCAGGTAGTGTAAGAAAACAAATTGATTGAAGTGGCAGTGTTACAGCTCCAGCTACAGTGTTACAGCTCTGGCTACAGCTCTGTTACTGCTCCTGAAGGACTACCCAAGAGGCAGTGGGCTGAGAGTAGCAGCTCAGAGGCAATTCTGGAGTCATATTTTTACCCACTTTTAATTACAGAAAATCTCTTGAGCAGGGGTTGGCTTCTCTTCAAATATTCCGTGAGAAGAATATGCTAATACTGTTTTGACACTGAAGACGTCTCATTGCAAAAAAAAAAAGTACATATGCAAATCAAGGGGTGCAAATCAAGGGGTGCATTATGCAGAAATTTGTAGAAAAGATGTGGTAACTTCTGAGTGTTTCTATGGCAATAGTGAACTGACATGGCCTAGTGGTGGGTGTGTCTTATGGGAAGGTGCTTCTGTTCCTTCCCTGTTTTAGCTAGTCCTCAGTTTGGTCTGGTGTGTGAGTCCTGCCTCTAAACTTGAGTACTGCCTCACATAGTAGTCTTTCAGGACACATGTCCTCTTTCAAATTGAACTGACAAGGAAACCCTGACACAGAGCAAAAAGTATAAAGTTTGAATGGAATCTTAATAGGAGACATGCCATCCTAATTGATTATTGTAGCATTGCTTTGTAGGGAATGAGATGTAGGGAATGAGATGTTGGGAGGTGGAGGTTGAATATTTCCTCGCTCATCAACTTTGCTGATCAAGTGGATTGGCCAGTGATCTTAGGAGGGAAAAGAGACAACTAAACTTTTCCGCTGTGAGATTTACACATGTCATTTTGTCAGGAATGGAGATCAATGGTTTATGGCAGTGGTCCCCTATTTTTTTTGACACCAGGAATCGAATTCGTGGAAGATAATTTTTCCATGAAACCAGGGGTGGTAGGGGATGCTTTCAGGATGATTTAAGCGCATTACATTTATTGTGCCCCTGATTTCTATGATTATTACATTGTAATATAAAATAAAATAATTATACAACTCACCATAATGTAGAATCAGTGGAAACCCTGAGCTTGTTTGCCTTCAATTAGACGATCCTATCTGGGGGTGATGGGAGACAGTGACAGATTATCAGGCATTATATTCTCATAAGGAGCAAGGACTCCTTGTGAGTCCTTATCCAACAAGATTAGGATAGTCTGTAGTTTACAGACATCATTCTCATAGTTCCACAACATTTAACCAATGGCAACATGTGTGCAGAAATGTGTGTGGAGGACATATATATGTAAATATATGTATACATATATGTATATATACACACACATACACATACACACATAATATATAATATAAAAAGTATATATATATATATATATTTTTGCAGTGAGACATCTTCAGTGTCAAAAGAGTATTGGCATATTCTCCTCATGGAGTATTTGGAGAGAAGCCAATCCCTGTTCAAGGAACAGCTGCAACTAAGGATGTGACATGGCTTGCCATCAGTGCTTACTAGATGCTATGATACAGCATCTATGTTCCTGTCATGCAATACAGGAAACATCCATAGACTCCTTTAAAAATACAAATTCATGGGTTTAAGGTTATGGTTGTCAGAAGCAGTAGCAGCAGGAACATGTTAGTTACACATGTTAGAATAATTATGGCAACATGTTAATATTGATGGTATCAGGGTCATAAAAATTTGCTAGTGCACCTATAAACACACTCAAATATCCAACAAGGTTAGGATAATCTGTAGTTTACAGACTTCATTCTGATAGTTCCACATTTAACCAATAGCAACATGTGTGCAGATATGTGCATGGAAGACATGTTCAAACACTAATTGAAAGAGATTTTTCTTCCGCAGAATTGTATAATCAATAAGAAAGTGGCTTCCCTAAGAAGTGTAGAGGATACAGGAAGGCAAGAAGAAATAGGAACTGGAAGAAGGAGGGAAGAAGCAAATTCATTTATTTATAAGGCTTTAAAGCCAAATAATTGGCAAGTCATATAATTGGCTAGAGAGATTGGGTCTTGCTGATGATTAATTACAACCTGTCTTTGTGTGAATCACCTGGTTTCCTGCCAAAGATGAAGATGAAACATTTCCATGAGTAGGCAATTCAGTCTGAGTGTGTCTCATGTTATTTTCAGATGAGGAGACTCCATGTGCATGGTTGCAGCAGGCATTCTTGGGAGCTCATGAGCTGAATTTCAGGAAAAGCCCAAGAAGATTCCACATTTCCCTCAGGATATCCTCAGGAAAATGTCTGCAGGCCTGGAAACACTTAGCCATCACTTGTTTATTTGAGAGAAATCAAAAAGGATTATGGAAACAGATTGGAATGTTGAACCACATTTATAAATGTTCCTAAGCTGTTTCCACTAACCAAAAATGATGCTGAATAAACAGAAAACAAACAAAAAGGTCAGGCTGAGAAAGATCACTAGGACTGGCCCCCACAAAAGGGGAAAAGTACTGTGAATATTTAGTGGAAGAGAAAATGGTAGACATTGACAACCAAGGGAGTGAAGAAGATAGCTTGTCAAAGGGAAGTGTTAGAAAATTAACTCTCTTAGAAGGCTGAAATAAAACAGATCCAAAAAAGAAAAAAAAGTAAG